>NC_000006.12:99464729-99616244 GCF_000001405.40 Homo sapiens
AAGTAAAGGTTTTGAAACCTATGTAAATGCCACATACAGAAACCAAAACCTCTTTAGTAAATAAATTCTGGATGTCCTCATCTTAAAATTTTTGACTGACTTGAAATACAAAAAATTAACAAATTATCAAAATAAAAAGTGTTTAAGAGTTTAAATTCCTTGAGAATAAAAACCATCATACTTTATGCATACTTACACAAACCCCCAAATCAGACTCAATTATGAATACAAACTCAATTATATATAAAAAATAATGACTCTCAGATATCTGGTAATATACTCAACAAATGTTTAAATAAATGATTAAATGTTCTTCACCAAAGCTTCATCATTAGTTTTCTTCTCCTTACCCTTTCTTCTATTATAGGAAGTGAAATATCAATGAATGGATCTTTCACCGTGGAGATCTTAAAAGGAAAACACATTGAAAACTTCAGTTAGAATTCTAATATAAACATACAGTTTTGTAAAGTACAAAGAAATCAAACTTCCCGGGCAACCTAAAATTTTACGTTAAAAACTGTTCCTGAAAAAAATAGCAATTTAATTGGGTATTGCAGCACATTGTTAATCAAAACAAGATATTCTCAAACATCAGTGAATGGTGATCCAATTGAATTTTATATTACTGTCAATATGACTGGCCTGTAATATTTAAAATAACTTAAAAAAACTGTTTAATAAAACAGATTAACTAAAGAGACTAGACATTTTTGGTTAGCTTAGGGCTGTAACATAAGTAAACTATGAAATGTTAAGAAAAAGCCATGAAAAAAAGCAGAGAGCTTGGCTGTGTTTTATAGATTCTTTAAGATAATTTTGTTTTAAAAGATACTCTCTATCTTGTGAGAGAGAAAACAACTTCTGTGTTGAATAGTCTAGAAACTTAAATAATCATGGTCATGCATTCTGTGTTTCAATGTGACAGGCTAGAATGAGATATATTTTATAATCCTGCTTCTTTAAGGCTAGAGAACACAGAAAAATACTCATAATCTGGGACAGGAAAATGAATAAAGGCTCCTTTTACTATTAAAATCTAACAGAAATTTAAACCTATCATACTCTAAGTCATACACTTACAGAAATATTCCTTGCCAAGCAATTGAAAATCTACAAAAAATTCATACATGCTTTAAGTTGTTAAAGATGGCATTCAAAATAAAAATTATTAAGTTCAAAGTGAGTGAAGTCTACACAAAAATCTTTAATACGTCATATAAACTTTAAATCAAAGGTGATATAACCACCCTAAATTATGTTAATACATTAAGTTATTTCTATTGGAATTAGTTTTTTTTTTTTGAAACTGAGTCTCGCTCTGTCACCCAGGCTATAGTGCAGTAGTGCGATCTCGGCTCACTGCAACCCTGCCTGCTGGGTTCAAGTGATTCTCCTGCCTCAGCCTCCCGAGTCATTGGGACTATAGGCACCCACCACCATGCCTGGCTAATTGTTTTGTATTTTTTTAGTAGAGATGGGGTTTCACCATGTTGGCCAGGCTAGTCTTGAATTCCTGACCTCAAGTGATCCGCCGGCCTTGGCCTCCCAAAGTACTGGGATTATAGGCATGAGCCACTGCACCCAGCCTGGAATTACATTTTAGGGCACTGCAACGTAGCACAGTTACTCTCTTCACAGAAGTTTTTCTCTCACTTCAAACAGATAGCTAATGAATTTCAGTATATTAAGATAGGCTAAAACTGCCTCATAGGTGTGTCATGAGGAAAAATAACACAAAAATACATTTACTTTTAAAAATATATAAATTATCACATTTACTTTCTAGGAGTGTAGCGTATAAAAAGACTTTCAAGAATCATTATGTAATCATCTGTCAAATTTTAAAAATGACTGCCAATGATTATATGTGAAAGAAAATATAATAAAAATGATGTGATTGTAATCCATTCCATGCTGAATTGAATTCTAAAGTACCTACATTTGCACATTCTTCACACATGACCGTGCTAGTTAATTCACCAATAAAGATCCGATCTATGAAGTTCATTTTCACACCTTCTTTTCCATATGCTGTAAAAATCATACTTTTTAATGCAAAAAACATGTCAACCATCCATCTAGCAGTATAATAGGCTATCTTCTGGTTATTCAAAAGTAATCTGAATAAGATATTCTGTACTACATTTAATAATACATTTTACTATACATACAACATTCTAAAGTCTTTCTCCTTTACAATTTTGTAGCAGATTTACGACTATCAACTACTTTAGTCTCCAAGAAATAATGAACTATTCTTAAGAGGTAAAACAAAACAACCACTATTCGTACCACACCTCAACCACTCCCATTAAAACTTATAAAACCTCATGTCTAACCAATAAGTACCCAGAAGAATGGAAAAGGAGATTATGCTATCAGGACTACGGATGCCAGGATCACGGCTATGAAAATAACAGTCGTAAAAGGCAAGTGTAAGGAATTAACATAGGTAATTAAGAACTCAAGAACATGGTTATATTTTTAAAAGTTAAAATTATTCTGCTCAGGAAATATTTATAAATTAAAAAAATGCCAATGACTTAGTTTAAAATAACCTGAGGTTGGGAGAAAATGGATTAAACATAAACCATGAACGCAGTTTAAGTTGGGTGACAGATATAAAGGGCTGCATTATGCTATTCTCTCTACTTTAATAAAAATTTGAAACTTTCCATCATAAACCATGGGAGGAAAAAGTATATTAACAAACCTATTCACCCCTCTTTCAAACTTCTTTTTTGAGCCTCTATCTTCAAGTTTCATACAAACAATATTCAAAATCATTTAAAATATTAGAGCACTGAATGACAGAAAACATGTGAATATATCAGTAAACATTAATTAAAATTGTATTTAGAAATACTATAATAATAAAGATATTTCTTCTAGAAAAACTAAAAGGGATTGGAAATAGTACAAAACTGGAAAGAGGGGGAAGAAAAACGGGGCTGTTATTCTAAACATCCACGAGATGGCACTATCTCAACACAAAAGAACAAGGCATATTTGAGCAGCTACGTTTTTTAAAAATCTTGAACCCTTAATTACAATAAAGTGCACAGTAACAATGTGTGTATGTTTGCAAATTATAGACCTGTAGTACATACATTATAAAACCACAAAAACAAAAGTTAGAAAAAAATACAAATAATATTTTTAAATGTCTTCTAAAAATCACTTCATGCTAACATTAGTTAGTATCTCAATGCAGAATATACATTTAGGGCAAGGTATATAAACCCTATATAGTATTGATAATGATAAATAACCAACTTTGATTAGGTAATCATCATTTGGGGCTCATATTTTTATGGATGAATAGCAAACACTAGGAGTAGGCAAAGTGCACTTACACTTGACTTACCAGCACTCTCTTCAATAAACGGTTTATTTGCAGGAGTCTTTGGAGCACTTAAACATTTTGTCTAGTTACATCTAAAAAATATCCATAAATCCATTGATCCAAACACATGTCAAATGATACAATATGATACATATGAACTTCCAAGTGTGGTTGCTACTTTCAACAACCTTTCAAGTTTCCCTTAGAAGACCTCACATAAAGGTATCGGTGTCAATCTGTATACTTGGTATAGCTTTATTCTTATAAATTCACATGAATACATTCTAGCATTTTCTATGTTCCACTAAAGTATTTTTCAGACACTGCAGCAACTACGTCCTCCTTTTAAAGCCACTACTTTGGTGGATTAGTTCACATAATGTTCAGTTCTTTTTCCAACTAAAATAAAATTTTAATATTTTCTTAAAGAAAAAAGTTTTAACAAAGAGTCAACATACCTTTGACTTTTTTTCTAGTTTCATCATCAGCAGTTTTAGTAGTTGGGTTGTTAAATGCTTTTAGAATGCTAGCTTGTATTCGCTGTAAAACAAAGTTAATAGATTCTGGTCTAATAATAGTTAACTCAGGCCTCATCCTCCTAATAAAAGTACTTTCAAACAGCAAGGTACACTGTGGATTTCAGTTCCCTAGTTTGAAAATAAAATGACCAAATTTTTTAAAAAATGTAATTTCTTCCAGGTCTCAAATTCCATGAATAGATTGCTCTAATGTCAAATTTTCCCAAGTAAGAGTCAGAATTTTTACATTTAGGTTCTCTCTTGGATTTAATGTATTTTTATCAGTGTACAAAAAGCAAGCAGCCTAGTCCTGTTGCTTAGCATAAATTAATTTGCCCTCTTTCTTCCTTCTCCCTCTCTCTAAAATGACACTTCTTAATTAGGACCAAAAAAGAAAATAGACCATATGAAATTTATTGTCTATGAAGACCTTTCTATATTAAGAAGCTATCAAGCTGGTTACTATAATCTCTATGCTATGTGGACTACCTCATTTATATACACATATAACTAAAGTCCAAATTTATCAATTAATGTCCATAGCAAGAAGAATCCCCCAAATTTTAATTATGGTTTTACTTGAACTTAGTTGTCAATAATGATTATGTTTTCAGCAGCTCTCAGTAAATGACAAGGTTTATATTAACTATTTCTACATCTCTTGTGTATGTTTTAGGAAAGATCCAATCTCACAGAAAAGTTTCAGAATAAAACTACATACTCCAAGAATAAAACTTAGTAAGTGACCTTTTAACATTAACTATGCCCCTAATTAGTGGATGAATTTTGTCTTCCTAATTCAGATTATGACAGTAGGATGAGGGAAAAGTTTAATTATCTTTCCAAAAAATATATATATAATTAATATATATATAATATATATATATATATTTTTTTTTTTTTTGAGAGTCTTGTTTTGTTGCCCAGGCTGGAGTGCAGTGGTGTAATCACTGCCCACTGCAGCTTTGACTTCTCTGGGTTCAAGTGATCCTACTGCCTCAGCCTCCCAAGTACCTGGGACTATAGGCACACACCATGACACCTGGCTAATTTTTAAAAATTTTTTTGTAGAGATGGGGTTTTGCCATATTGCCCAGGCTGGCCTTGAGCTTCTGAGCTCAAGCAAGCCACCTGCCTCAGCCTCCCAAAGTGCTGGAATTACAGGCATGAGCTGCCACACCTGTTTTTTGTTGTTTGTTTGTTCGTTTTGTAGAGACAGGCTCTTCCTATGTTGCCCAGGCTGGTCTCAAACTCCCAAAGTGCTGGGATTACAGGTGGTGCCTGGTCCTTCCTATCTTTTAATTGGAAAAGATCACTATGATATATTAAGTGAAAAAAGACAAAGTACAAGTTATATATATGGTATATGCCACCTTTTGAATAAGGAAAAAAAGAGCATAAAGGAAGAAAGACAAGAACACGGGATATAAACAATGGCAAAGTCAAAACACAAGAGAGGCAAAGGGATCTCCCAGGAGCATGGTTAGGAGGAATTCCAGAGTGACACCTATACATCAGATATGAGAGGTAAAGAACCCAGATTGGAGCAATGAGACTTATGAATCAGAAATATTGTCAACACCAACATCCCCTTCTGCCATTATAACATGCTTTTAATCTAAGAACACAATATTATATGGAGAAGGAGGTGATCACATTCTTATTCTCGCTCCATGCCCTGCTGCCTGGATAAGCAGAAGACACTCATGACCCCCAGAATTGTTCTGCTGTGTATGATTTATGTTTCTTCTGTGTATGATATATGTTTTTTAACACATCCTCCTCCAACAATTGTGAAACCGAGTTTCACTTATTACTAACTGGCCTGTGATTAACACATTATATTTCCTATAACTGTTCACTGTCCTCAAGCATATTTTGAAAATTAATACAAGATTCAAAACACTTAAATATTTTACAAAGTAGGGGATAAAAGCAAACATAAAGCAATTCATACCGTGTGACACAAGTCCTGAAATACACTTATATACTATAAAGAAATCAAACAATAAAATGTCTCCCAGAAGCTATTAAATACTGAAATAATCTCCAATTCAGACTCAATAAATTTGAAAGTTGATATAATTCAGACATTGTCTAAGCTAAAGTTGGCTTTTACACCTTGAAAAAAGAATTTATTGAACTAAAGTAAGCAAATTGGAATTGTGTAAATTCCATGCAGGAGAAATATTTAATGAACTTAAATGAAAAATTCCAATAAATACCAATGTTCACTCGCAAATATTTCAGATAATCATAACATTTCAAACAACTCAAGAGAAATACTTCTAACTCAACTCAGTCTGTAAATTTATCCTACAATTTAAACATTTTACTAATTCAGACATGATTTTTGATATGATTTAATGAAACTTTGCTATATATCCTGAAATGTCATATCACTCAAAAGAAGCTAAGAAGTTACCAATTCAAGCAGCAGGAAAAAAGCTAAAAAGCTGTGATTACACTCTAAAAAGAGTAAAATGAAATTGTTTACATTATTAACTTTTAAATATTAGACTTTTGCTTTTTAATTTTGATCCTAACCGTGAATTTATATTCTCTACTCCAAACTGTTTAAAAGTCAATTAATAGGTAATTCATCAAGTTGAGGAAAATAAATGAGTTTACGTCCATATACAATTCCTCATTGTTAAGAGTTGTGCTTTGAACAATTTAGGTTAAAAGAAAGATACATACTTTGGTCAGGGAGCTGTTAATAACTGTAGCACTTAATCAATTAGCAGTATCAAGGTTCAACTATTTCAGATCTCCACCTTATACTTTAAAAACAAGAATGAAAATAATGTACAGTTTTAGCTGAGATATTCTGTCTTTAAAATAATTCTAACCAAAAATATATTACAGTAATAAATCTTGAAGATAATAAAAATATAGTATCATTAATTTAGTGACTGTGCAAATTAAAAGGAAAAAACAAAGAAGCATAAATGTATAAATTAAAAAGACTGCCTTATAAAAGAACTACTTCTAGGAAATTTGATTTTGTACATGAAAAATTTACAATTTCTGCACAAATGATCCTTTAAGTACTATATTCAGCAAGAGTATATTCCTCAATGTTGTAGTTCAGAAAAGACTTTAATGAAACCATATGAAAGGAGGTCAGTAGTTTTTCATCATTACTAAAAGATTCTGGTGGCAGACATAACACTGTAGCCTTCCTTCAATCAAGAAACACATGGCAGTGACACCCTACAACAACAGCATGATTAACAGCTGTGGAGTTCCCAGGCCAGACAATGCAGCTCCTGCCCTGATACTGTAGCTGACCGTCAGGACTGTCCTCGCTTATGAAATTGAATAGATCCACAGACTTGACATTTTAATTTTACTGCACCATTTAAAGCCTTCAAATAGTGCAAGAAAGATAAGAGCTTTCAAAACCAATGTGTCCTGCTGGGCTGCCTAAGATACTGTGCATCCCAATGCACCATTACGACTAAACAATAATTTAATTATAACAAAGACTGCTATCAAATTATAGAGGTAAAACAGAAAAAAGTGACAGGGATATATTTTACTTTTTTTATAATATCAACAGAAAAAAAACCCCAAGACATAATTTTAATCCATTCACATGACTTTTAACTTCACTTACTAATTTTTTTTTTTTTTGAGAACGTGTCTCACTCCCTCACCCAGTCTAGAGTGCAGTGCCGCGATCACAGCTCACTGCAACCTCCACCTCGAGTTCAAGCAACTCTCCTGCCTCAGTCTCCTGAGTAGCCAGGATTACAGACACGCATCACCATGCTTGGCTAATTTTTGTATTTTTAGTAGACACGGGGTTTCACCATGTTGGCCAAGCTGGTCTCGAACTCCTGACCTCAGGCGATCTGCCCACCTCAGCCTCCCAAACTGCTGGGATTACAGGAATGAGCCACCATGCCCAGCCCACTTACATAATTTTTAATTCCATTTAATGATACATGACCACCACATAGTAAACGTATTCCTGCAAATCATGGGGAAAAAAATAATTCTAGCAATTGATAAATCTGAATTAATCTTAAAGTAACTCATATCATCTGTAGGCCCATTTATTGTTCACAATACAAAAAGCAACCTGTTCCCACCGTGCCAACATGCATCTACCCCTCAACAAGAAGAGCAATATACCATAATTATTGAATCCAATTTAATACTTTTACAAATAGTAAAATAATTGTGGTTACATTTTAAATAGCAGACTTAAAATCATTATTTCTACTGACTACAGATGTCCAAGCATTTAAACTTCAATCAGCAGTATTTTATAGAATTAGAAAGATCATTAGTTTGGGAGTCAGAAAGACTTGAGTTTGAAGCTCAACTCTAAGTATCAGTTCCTAGCTCTAAGAAAATGTGATCAAATACTAGCTAGGGGACTACGCTAATATCCTCAATGGTTAACTAATTATAAATCTCTTTTTTTTTTTCTTTTTTAGACACAATGTAGGTAAAACAACACAGTATTATCCTGTCGGTTTATTAGTTTATTCAAATACAACATATTCAAAATAATTGCAAATCACAAAGAAACTAGCTAGTATAACATATAAGAATAATTATTTTGATTTCTTCCCAATTCAAATTCTCAAAAAAAAGTTGCGTTTAAGGTTAAGCACATACAACTCATTCAAAAAACATTCACAGGGAGCCCGGAGTGGCAGCTCATGCCTGTGATCCCAGCACTTTGGGAGGCCGAGGCAGGCAGATTACTTGAGGTCCGGAGTTCGAAACAAGCCTGGCCAAAGTGGTAAAACCCTGTCTCTACTAAAAATACAAAAAAAAAAAATTAGCCAGGCTTGGTGATATGTGTCTGTAATCCCAGCTATTCAGGAGGCTGAGGCAGGAGAATCACTTGAACCCAGGAGGTTGGAGGTTGCAGTGAGCCGAGATCACAACACTGCACTGCAGCCTAAGCAACAGAGCAAGACACTGTCTAAATAAATAAGCAAGCCTAGTCAACATGGTGAAACCCCATTTCTACTAAAAGTACAAAAATTAGCTGGGAATGGTGGCACACCCTGTAATCCCAGCTACTCGGGAGGCTGAGGCAGGAGAATCACTTGAACCTGGGAGGCAGAGGCTGCAGTGAGCTGAGATCATGCCACTGCACTCCAGCCTGGATGACAGAGTGAGACCCTGTCTCAAAAAAAAAACAAAAAAAACAAAACACACACACACACACACACACACAAATTCACAGAACATCTACTATGTGCAAGGCACACAGGACAGAGACAATACATAGTACCATTCCTCAAAGAGATCACAATCTAAGAAAGCTGACAGATAGGGACATAAATCTAAATAGAAAGTGGTAGGGTTTATGATCAAATATGTAAAAGTAGAGAGGTGGCAGAAAAGGAATGACACCTCTAAAAGCTGAATTCAATTAGCTTAATAAGAAAGTCAATAAACAGACAATTAAAAATAGGATTGTGATACATGATGTTTTATAGCAGGAGAGAGTAATTAACTCAATCCTTACTTTTAAAGGAAACTTTAAAGAAAATATTAGAACTCTAATTTTCTCTTCACTGGAAACTGGTCACTAGGAGTAAAGAGACACTGCCACACTACAATTAAAACAGGATTTTTGTTGTTTTTTGAGGTAGGCTCTGCTCTGTTGCCCAGGCTGGAGTGCAGTGGTGCGATCACAGCTCACTGCAACCTCCGCCTCTCGGGTTCAAGCAATTCTCATGCCTCAGCCACCCAAGAAGCTGGGATTACAGGTGTGCACCACCACGCCTGGCTAATTTTTGTGTTTTTAGTAGACACATGGTTTCACTATATTGGCCAGGCTGGTCTGAAATTCCTGAGCTCAAGTGATCCGCCCACCTTGGCCTCCCAGAGTGCTGGGATTACAGGCATGAGCCACCATATCTGGCAGAATTTTTTTTAAAAAAGGAAGGTCCATCTTGCCTAGCACTACTTATCACAAGCACATATGCACTTCACTGAACACTTGGCTGCTTTTATTACATATTACCATATAGATTAAGAAGTATATTTGCCTTGAATGGAAAACAGGTTTTCACCTATTACTCCAATTATGACTGACAAGGGCTGCCCACAATGGTGTGCTCAGAAAATAATTCTGAGGCTGAACCCAAACTCACCTGGACTGTTAGGAACGATCAGCAATGTCTTCTATGAGTAAGAGGGAGGAAAATGGAGAATGTGTGCTGTGTATCTGATATCCTTAATATCTTGCATTTTCTCTGATAAACTGATCCTATGTGCACAGGAAACCCCTCCCAGAAGAAGTTGAATTTAACTAATTTAACGTTAAAGTCAATAAAGAGCCTATCAGTTAGGGGATAGGCCTACAATCAACACTGGGGAATCTATCCAGTCCACAGGCTATTCCTTTTCTGAGAAATGCTCTCTCATCTAAGAGGCTGGGACTCCTCTCTCCTAGCCACAAACAACTGATCCATGAGTGGAATTTAATCCAACATGGAATAATGAAGTTTCTGTCTACTGGGAATTTAAAAATTGAGAATCATGAATAGCCAGTATAGTTTTTACATACATGGAACTATGACATACAAATACTGCTTGGTCTGCATGGAGAAAAATGAAGAAAATTTACAGAGCCAGAGAAACTAGGATAATAAGAAGAATGCTTTCTGGATTCCTGACAGCTTTCCTGTTCCTATATCCCCCTATCGCCCAGGAATAATATCTCCCTGCATCTTAAGATTCCTTTTTTTTTTTTTTTTTTTTACAGCGTTTCACTCCGTCACCCAGGCTGGAGTGCAGTGGCACGATCTCGGCTCACTGCAACCTCCACCCTTGGGGTTCAAGTATTCTCCTGCCTCAGCCTCCCAAGTAGCTAGGATTACAGGCACACGCTACCACACCTGGCTAATTTTTGTATTTTTAGTAGAGACAGGGTTTCAGCATGTTTCCCAGGCTGATCTTGAACTCCTGACCTCAGGTGATCCACCTGCCTCAGCCTTCCAAAGTGTTGGGATTACAGGCATGAGCCACCATGCCTGGCCCCAATTCCTTTTTACTTAAGCTAGTTTAAATTATTTTATTTACAGCCAAAGGACATTAACTAAAAAGGACAATAGGGCTGTAAAAGGATAAAGGTAAATATCTTACAGAAGAAAGAAAAAATATCTAGAATATTTACTCTAAAAAATTAAATTATTTCTCAACTGTACTTTTAAATTGTAATAGAAATTACTTACTTAGTTGTTTTTTTGTTTGTTTGTTTTTTGAGACAGAGTCTCACTCTGTCACCCAGGCTGGAGTAGTGCAGTAGCGGGATCTCCGCTCACTGCAACCTCTGCTTCCTGGGTTCAAGCAATTCTCATGTCTCAGCCTGCCAAGTAGCTGGAATTACAGGTATGCACCACCATGCGCGGCTAATTTTTATTAGAGACGAGGTTTCACTATGTTGGCTAGGCTGGTCTGAAACTCCTGACCTCAGATGATCCACCCCGCCTTGGCCCCCCAATAATCCCTTAGTTTTGTATCCTCTTCTTGAAGAGAATACATGATATACATAAAGAAACCTGACCTTTGTTTCTTCTGTCCTCACTGCATCCAGAAGATAATGAAGAAGCTCCTGACTGTCCTGTTGCTGGAAATCTTTAAATCGAGGTGCCCTGTGATTTAAAAACAAAAGAGGAAAGAAAAAAAGAATAATCATTCCATGGTTCATCAACACTCTTCTCTAAATGCACTTGAAATAGCATATTATTAGCTGGGTGCGGCAGCCTACGCCTGTAATCCCAGCATTTGGGAGGCCAAGGGGCAGATCACTTGAGCTCAGGAGTTCGAGACCAGCCTGGGCAACAAGGCAAAACCCCGTTCTCTACCAAAACACACACCCACACACACAAAATGGCATAAAGACACAGTTTACTACTTTTCCAACTAAATAGATGAAATGTGATTACTGGTCCAATTAGGGTGTGATCTTAAGTGTGCACTGAGAATATGGCTATCATTTATTAAGCAACTACTATATGTTAAGCACAATACTAGTAGTTTTTCACATGTTCAGGCATAATCCTCCAACAACTTTGTTGGGATGTACTGTTTTCTCCAACTTACACATGAGGACTCAGCAGTATTGTTTAAATCATTTGCAAGGTCATACAGCTAGCAAATAAACCAGTATTCAAACCCAAGCCACTGTGATTTATTATCTTCCTACCTTAACCAAAAGGAAAGCAAGAGAGTGTTTCTATTTCATATAAAGGACTATAAGTTGATCTCCCTGTGAATATGTTTTTTAAGGACTTGATAATTAAATTTCCTCTGTATTAACTTAATAGAAAGATCAGGTACTATTCATGGAGACACTGACATAGGAAATATTTGGTTGATTTCAGTAACTTTAAAAAGTAACCTACAGTAAACTCTATGCTAAAATGAACATTTTGCCTTAAGTGCAGACAAGTATTAAATCTAGAAAGTGTTCAGACCTAAGATGAAGAAATAATTCTGTCAAAATACAAAATAATTAGAATATATTATAGTAGAAGACACATTTACAACTATTTATGATATTTACAACATATCTCATGTGATATACAAAACAGCACTGTTCAGGAATTTATAATTAATATAAGTTCTACTTTATGCTTGAGAAAATCGAAGAACAAGCTAAGTGCCACTAACATAACTACAGGTCTTTTGACAGAGTGCAGTACTTAATTATTTTTAATTATTATCTCATTTTTATTTTTGTGAGATGGAGTTTCACTCTGTCACCTAGGCTGGAGTGCAGTGGCACAATCTCAGCTCACTGCAACCTCCGCCTCCTGGGTTCAAGCAATTCTCCTGCCTCAGCCTCCTGAGTGGCTGGGACTACAGTTGCTGGCCACACCTGCCATCGTGCCCGGCTAATTTTTGTATTTTTAGTAGAGGTGGGGTTTCTCCATGTTGGTCAGGCTGGTCTCGAACTCCTGACCTCAAATGATCCACCCACCTCAGCCTCTCAAAGTGCTGGAATTACAGGCATGAGCCATCACGCCCGGCCAAGTGCAGTACTTTCAGCATTATTCTTCATTATCTCAGGATAAATATTAATCCTAATAATACAAAGAAAGTGAGTCCCTGACTGCTAAAACATTAACCGGTCATCAATCCAGCCTGTAAGAGGAAACACCACTCCAGACATTCTTGCTAACTAGCAGCACATAGCAACATGCTGACAATACTTTATTACCTTGATGGGCTTCCCTACCTGCACTTGGTGGACAGAACCCACCTCCTAGATTAGAGATGAGGACAGAAACCAAGATGGACACATATTCTAATCCTATTTGGACCTCCACAGCTGGCATCAGGAGAGGCAGAAACTGCAGAACCCTATACTTATGCTGTATACTCCAAGGAAGGCCAGTGAAGTAGCAGATGACTAGAGGAGGGAACAGGAGAATCCCTCAGAGATCTTCACTAGCCAAGTGGTAGGTAGGAGGAGGGGGCAGTTTATGGCTTTCAAAGCAGACACACAAGGAGGAAATCATTCCTGAACAAAGAGAAACTGCCTCCACCATGTCTCTGCCTATAGCTCCTTCTCAACCAATGCAAAAACTATTTACTGCCTTCTAAACCACTGAAGAAAATTTAATAAACTTAGATTTGTTTTTTTTTTTTTTTTTTTTTTTTAACCTAGGAATGGGCAAAAAAAAATCATAGGATGATTTCTAGACTCTATGATGGAGCCTATCTGAGCTACCCATATCAAGAGAGACTTTCAAACCTATTAAAGGATTAAAAGATAAAAATCACCAAACATATGAAAATATTCAGCCTATTCAAAATAAGGGGAACCCTAAGGATTCCCAGGAAATGTACTTTAGTAAAAGTATTGCCATGAGAAAGAGGAGAGGACTTTTAAAAACCTCAAGGCATGAGAGAAAAATATATGTACAAGCATAAATTAGGAGACTGTCAAGAAAAAGAAATTTAATCCACTTCTATGTTCATCACAGTGCTATTCACAATAGCAAAGACATGGAATCAACCTAGGTGCCCATATATGGTGGATTGGATAAAGAAAATGTGGTCCATATACACCATGGAATACTACACAGCCATAAAAAAGAACAAAATCATATCCTTTGCAGCAAGCAACATGGAAGCAGCTGAAAGCCATCACCCTAAGTGAACTAATGCAGAAGCAGAAAACCAAATAAAACAAACAAAAACCACAAAGTTGAAGACCTTGCTCCCAAATAAGGCTCATCACAAGTGGTCAAAGTGTGTGATAATCACCACTATAACAGAAACTTCAAGAGACTGGTTCATGTACACACAATATGAATAAACCACAAATTATGCCAAGTGAAGGAAGTCAGATAAAAAAAGAGTACACCCTGTATGATTCCATTTCTATAGAATTCCCCAAAATGCAAACTAATCTATTGCAACAACAAAAAAAAAAACAGGTAAGGGGTATACCACCCAGGGATGGAGTTTAGGGGAGAGGTTCTAGAGAAAGGGATTATAAAGGGGCCCAACAAAACTTTGGGGGGTGATGGATACATTCATTACATTGAATGAATGTATGTATATATACATATATACACACACACACACACACACACATACACAAAGTGTATAGATATGTCAAAACTTATCCAATAGTATATTTTATTTTTTAGAGAGACAGGGGTGACAGGAGTGCAATGACATTAACAGCTCACTGAACACTCAAAACTCCTAGGCTCAAGTGATCCTCCTACCTCAGCCTCTAGAGTAGCTGGGACTACAGGTGTGCACCATCACACCTCTGGCTAATTTTTTTTTCATAGAGTCTCCCTATGTTGTCCTGGCTAGTCTCAAACTCCTGGCCTCAGGCAGTTCTCCCACCTTGGCTCCCAAACTGCTGGGATTACAGGCATGAGCCACTGTGTCTGGCCCCAGTAGTACACTTTAAATATGTACAATTTATTTTATGTCACATATACCTTACTAAAGCTAGCCAGAATATCCACCAATACAATTTACTATTCCAACAGACAAAAAAAAAAAAAAAAAAGATTATTTGGATACAGAAAAAGCATTTTTAAAAAATCCATTTCTTAATAAGAACTCTCAGAAAAAAGAAAAACTAAGAATAATTGGGAATTTCCTCAACCTGATAAAAGGCATGTATGAAAACTCTATAGTTATTATCACACTTACGTGTGAAAGACTGCATGCTCTCCCTTTAATATCAGGAATAAGGCAAGATGCCTATTTCACCATTCTAACATTGTATTGGTGGTCCTTTTTCATTTTTTTTCCAAGAAGAGTCCTATTGCAATATGTATTGGTTGTCCCTGACAGTGATATAAAATGAGAAAAAGATATAAAATGATACAGATTGGAAAGAAAGAAAACAATCTTCATTTGCCAATGACATTGTCTACATAGGAAATACCAACGAATCAACATAAAGCTAAGAGAACTAGTAAAGCAAGTTGGGTAGGGTAGCAAGAAACAAGGTCAACATACAAAAATCAACTGTATTTCTGTATATTAACAATGAACAATTGGAAATTGAATTCTTTAAAAAGAGTACCATTTACAATAAATAGCATAAAAACATGAAATTCTTAAGATAAATCTAACAAAATATGTGCGGGATTTGTATGCTGAAAACTATACACCCTTGATGAGAAAAATCAAAGACCTAGAAAACTGGTAAGATATCATACATGAAAAGATTCAACATTGTTAAGATGTTGATTCTCCCCAAATTGATCTACACATTCAAAACAATCCCAACTGACAATCTGATTCTATAATTTACATAAAAAAGCAAAGGACCGGCCAGGCGCAGTGGCTCACGCCTGTAACCCTGGCACTTTGGGAGGCCAAGGTGGGCAGATCACCTGAGGTTGGGAGTTCAAGACCAGCCTGACCAACATGGAGAAACCCCATCTCTAGTAAAAATACAAAATTAGCCGGGTGTGGTAGCGGGCGCCTGTAATCCCAGGCTGAGGCAGGAGAATTGCTTGAACCCAGGAGGTGGAGGCTGTGGTAAGCCAAAATCATACCATTGCACTCCAGCCTGGGCAACAAGAGCGAAACTCCGTCTCAAAAAAAAAAAAGAGGACCTAGAATAGTTTGAAAAGGATGACCAAAATTTGAGAACTTATGCTACTCAATTGCAAGACTTACTATGAAGCTACAGTAATCAAGACAGTGTAGGCTTTGGGGTAAAGACAAGACATGTAGATCAATGAAACAGAATATAGTTCAGAAATAAACCCAAACACATGTGGCTTAAATCTTTACTTGATTTTAAAAAAATATATTTGTCTAATGTATACTTCTTTTAAAAGTAAACGCCATAAAACAAACAAAAAAAAGGCAATTTAAAACTTTTCAGCCAAGCATGGATGACGCTCATGCCTGTAATCCCAGCTACTTGGGAGGTTGAGCAGGGAGGCATGCTTGAGCCCAGGAATTCGACTATGATTGGGCCACTGCACTTGAGCCTGGGCACAGAGCGAGACCCTGTCTCCTAAAAAATACAAAAAATACATAAAAATCTTCAAATAATGTTTGATCTAGTTATTCTAAGAATTTATCCTACAGATGTACTTCCGCAAGTACAGTGTATTCATACAAAACTGAGTAAGTTATACACACATGTGCTAACATGGAAAGATGTATAAAATATATCAAGCAAGTTGCAAAAAATTTGCATATGTCTGTGTATGTATGATCACTTTTGGAAAGAATCAGATAATAGTTACTTCTGAGGAGTAAAGATAGAGAGGAGTTTGAATTTTTATCTATGAGTGCCCATTATTTTAATAGTAATTTTTAAAATGTTAATAAACCTTTATAACCAGGAAGAAAACTATACAAAACAAGTTATTTCTGGCAAAGTCAGAAACAAATTTCTAAAGCATACAATGACCTAGTAACTTTTTTTGTTTTAATTTCAACTTTTATTTTAGATTCAAGGGGTACATGTGCAGGTTTGTTATCTGGGTATATTGTGTGATGCAAAGGTCCGGAGTACGAATGATCCCGTCACTCAGGTACTAAGCATAGTACCGAATAGTTAGTTTTTCAACCCTTCCTCCCTCAATCTCTCCCACCTCTAGTAATCCCCACTCTCTACTGTTGCCATCTTTATGTCCATGAGTACCCAATGTTTAGCTTCCACTTATGAGAACATGTGGTATCTGGTTTTCTGTTCCTGCATTAATTCACTTAGAATAATGGCCTCCAGCTGCATCCATGTTGTCGCAAAGAATATGATTTCATTCTTTATTATGGCTGTGCTAAAAACTTTTTAACTCTGTGAGACACTCATGCCTCTGAGAATTTTGCAGGTTTTTTTGGTCCTCAGGCTTTGAAGAAACATCATTTGCCAACCAAATGAAACATACACTAAGCCCTCTATTTTGGACTATATTTAAAATATCATGGCATTCATTACTAGTTTTAATTAAAATGAGATTTTAAAGTCTATAGATATACAAAAACACAAGCTCATATTCAAATAATTTTCCTTCTACATATTTTAGTAATTGTGGACTGGACTAGCTTGTGAGTTCCATGAGGACAGGGTGCATTTGTGACGCAATATATGTTGTGTACCCCTGAATTGTAGCAAGTACCTCATAAAAAGCAAGCTCTCAATTTTTTATATAAATGAATACATGAATGCATTAAAGTCAAGTCAGATCCTTTATGTGTTTATTTCCAGGCACATAAGGATTTGGTTTTTAAACATACTGTAATACCTTGAGAAATTCACTTAAACTCTATTTGCCTCACAGCTCATCTTTTAAAATAAGAAAGCTAGATTAGATGTTATCTTACGGTACTTTCTAGATTTTACAACTCTATGGTTTTCTCACTTTATGGTATTACAACATAGGCATCCAAGTCAGGACAGATCTCCATTTGATTCTCAGCTTTTCACTCAGACTAGGTGAGCCATTTAATTTCTGTGTCTCCATTTCCTTATATATGAGGATAAGCTGCTTCTTCTGAGGACTGAGATATAATTTTCATAAAGCATAGAGCTGTAACAAATTTTAGTTCTCTTCATAGTCAGGGCAATAAGAGCAAAGTTACAGTAAAAACGACTATTCATGTTAAATGATGAATACATTAGTATTTTGTAACTCATAATTATTTATATTAAATGTAGATGCACCCACTTCTGACAAAGCTGATTAAAAAGAACTTTAGGAGAAAGTGGTCCTTTTTCAGTCTCCTTCATGCTGTGAAGAAACAGGAACAAGGCTGAGGTCAGTGGTCCAGGCCTTGAAAGTTCCACCACCAATGGGTCCTTTAAAAACATGATCAACTCTATGTCAGAAATGTACAATTTAAAAATAACATATTAAAAATCTGTGAGTTACACTCTGCTTAAATAACACCAACTAAATTGCCTCAATTGTATTAAGAAACTTTATTATTTCATAAATAAAATATATAAAAATGGAAAACAGAATACCTGCCTTGAAAAACACAGGTATTTTCATATCCTCTGCCCTTTGCTTAATAAAACTATTAGATCAAATGATATCACCAATCTTTAGTTGCTTGTCACTGTCCTTTAATGCACTCTCCTATAAATAAAATCACTAATCTACTTAATGTTTGTACCACTCCACGAATAATCATACATTATTTGCTAGTAAATAATGTATGATTATTTGTGTATAATGTAGGATTATACACCTTTCTTTTCCCCAAATATTTTACTAGTAAAGTAATAATGTGGAATCATGTAACAAAATCAGCATAACATCTCCCTCTTTTAAAGGGGAGAGACATAAAGCTTGACAAAAGCAGCTAACATTGGGTGAAGGATTAACCCATTTAATTCTAGAATTTTTTTCCCCTCGAAATCTGGTTTCTAAAGTACTATCCCCACCAATAACACTTTCTCCTAAAGGACAAGGAATAGAAAGCAGATCCCAAATATAAACTTGGGACATTAAAGAATGTTATCTTCCGGCCGGGCGCGGTGGCTCACGCCTGTAATCCCAGCACTTTGGGAGGCCGAGGCGGGTGGATCATGAGGTCAGGAGATCGAGACCATCCTGGCTAACAAGGTGAAACCCTGTCTCTACTAAAAATACAAAAAATTAGCCAGGCGCGGTGGCGGGCGCCTGTAGTCCCAGCTACTCGGGAGGCTGAGGCAGGAGAATGGCGTGAACCCGGGAAGTGGAGCTTGCAGTGAGCCGAGATTGCGCCACTGCAGTCCGCAGTCCGGCCTGGGCGACAGAGCGAGACTCCGTCTCAAAAAAAAAAAAAAAAAAAGAATGTTATCTTCCAAGATAACTATTGAATATATTGTCCTATTCCTATATTCATGAAATAACTGTTACATATGTATTTTATAACAACTATCCTTAAAAATCCACTATAATCACAGAAAGGACAGGCTATAATTTTCCATAGTTTTTTTTTTTTTTTTTTTTTAAAGAGACAGGGTTGCCCAGGCTGGTCTTGAACTCCTAAGGCTCAAGCAATCCTCCCGCCTCAGCCTCCCAAGTAGCTGGGATCGCAGGCATGAGCCACCACACCCAGTCAAAATTACAGAGGACTCAAGACAGACTTTTGTGTTTTTTCTTTTTTTTTTTTTAGACGAAGTCTCACTCTGTCACCCAGGCTGGAGTGCAGTGGTGCGGTCAGCTCACTGTAACTTCAAACTCTTGGACCCAAGTGATCCTCCTGCTTCCACCTCCTGAGCAGCTGGGACTACAGATGAATGCCAGCATATCCAGTTGATTTTTAAAATTTTTGTAGAGACGGGGGTAGAGGGGGGGTCTCACTTTGTTGCCCAGGCTGGTCTTAAACTCCTGGCTTCAAGTGATCCTCCCACTCCGGCCTCCCAAAGTGCTAGGGGATTACAGGAATGAGCCATGGTGCTCGGCCTTCCATAGCTTTTGAATGTCAAAAGTGCTTTTCTGGGCTGGATGCCATGACTCACATCTGTAACCTCCACACTTTGGGAGGCCAAGGTGGAAGGATCACTTGAGCCCAGAGTGGAAGGCCCGCTTGGGCAACATAGGGAGACTCCGTCTCTGCAAAAAAAATTTAAAAATTAGCCAAGTGTAGTGGCACGTGCCTGCAGTCCGAGCTACTCAGGAGGCTGAAGTGGGAGGATCCCTTAAGCCCAGGCTGCAATGAGCCATGATGGCACCACTGCACCCCAGTGTGAGTGACAGAATGAGACTGTCTCCAAAAAAAAAAAAAAAAGTGTTTTCTCTTCTGCTGTAAACTTAAAACTGCTCTAAAAAATAAAGTCTATTTTTTTTTAAAGTGTTTTCTGCCATGTTAACTGAAAGTTACCTCAAGGGTCAAAAGTAAAATCTAAGGTAATTTTAAACTTCAAGTACCAAGTTGCACTTCCCTTTTCTCAATGAAAATATTTTTTAGACAGAATAAAAAACCTTCAGAATGAGATGAGGAAATAACCTTAGTTTTAAAAAGTACATTTAGACCTGGCGCAGTGGCTCACGCCTGTAATCCTAGCATTTTGGGAGGCCGAGGCAGGTGGATCACTTGAGGTCAGGAGTTTGAGACCAGCCTGGCTAACATGGCAAAACCCTGTCTCCACTAAAAATACAAAAAAAAAAAAAAAAAAAATTAGCTGGGTGTGGTGGCACGCATCTACAGTCCCAGCTATTCAGGAAGCTGAGGCAAGAGAACTGCTTGAACCTACGAGGCAGAGGTTGCAGTGAGCCGAGATCGTGCCACTGCATTCCAGACTGGGTGACAGAGCAAGACTCCATCTCAAAAAATAAATAAAATAAAAATAAAAAATACACTTAAACTTTGAAAACAAAAGTTTGCTGAAAACGCAAGAAGGATGAATTTCACACATAATGTTGACAGAAAGAAGCCAAATGCAAAATAATGTATATAGTAAGATTCCATTTATATGCAGTATTAAAACAGGCAAAACTAATCTATCCTGTTAGAAACCAGGTTAGTGGTTACTCATGTGGGTTAGGGAAGTAGTGAATGTGGGGGGGAGTTGAAGGGGCCTTCCAGATGCTGGTAATGTTACTTGAGCAAGGTGTTAGTTACACAAGTGTGTTAGCTGTGAAAATTCATCAAGTTATACACTCATAATATACATTTTAAAGAATATTTTCATTAAATAAAAAGTTTTCCACACACACTGTTGATATGCGCATAAATATTAAATTGAATCCAGCAGCATATAAGCATATCATAACTGGGGTTTGTAACAAGAATACAGGATAGGTTTAACACTTGAAAAAGGAATCAGTGTAATTCACCACATTAACAGAATAAAGAAGAAAAACCATATGATCATCTCAATAGATGTGGGAAAAGCATTTGACAAAATTCAACATCCATTCCGATAAAACTTTCAGAAAACTAGCAATAGAAAGGAATGTCCTCAAGCTTACAAAGAACACCTCTGAAAATCGTACCTTCGTATGTAATAATGGGAGAAGGCTGAATGTTTGTTCCCCTAATTTTGGGATTAAGGCAAGGCTGACTGCTCCCATCATCTCTATTCAACATGTTACTGGAGCTCTGAGCCAGCACAATAAGGTAAAAAAATAAAAATAAAAAAATAAACGGTATATAGACAAAAGACAAAGATAAACTGGTGATTCAAAGGGCAGTAACCAACTCAAAGAACAGTGCCACAGCTCAGGTCAACTTTATGCCCTAAAAACCTAAGATATAAGATTCAAAATTACCCTGTTAGAATGATACAAACCTAAAGTTATTAACTACAGTATCTAATTGCCATATAGTAATCCTGAAACACAGCTCTGCATGTCAAATATTTAAACTCAACATCCAATCGCATTTAACAGGAAATCACATTTAACAGGTCTTTTTAAATGACTAGGCAATAACTTCCCTTTAGTAGTTTTAAGGATCTCACTACACTTTATTTAGAATAGGGCATTGGAATCTATCATTAAATTTTTAAGGGGCTGAACAAATGTTTACAGGCTGCTTTTCGACTATATATACATATATATATGGTAAACATTTACATGTAAATATATATATAAAAAGGAGGTTATTATATATATATAACAGTATGTTATATATATAATAATACTGTCTTTCAAAGATATATATATAAAACAATACTGTCTTTCAAAAGTGCCTACTGGGAAAAACAATCTAAGATTACTAAGCATGTTTAGAGGGCTAAGCATTTTTAGAACTCTTTAATTGTTTTCAAAAGTCAGATCATGAGCTATACATATACTCTGACTTACACACTTACACACACACACAAACACACACACACAGGCTGATCAATTTCTCACTAAAATTATCCTTACTAGTATCAACACCTCCCAGCCAAAGTCCATCAGAAACACACCTATCGTTGAACTAGGTGGGTTTATTACTTGTGGCAGTGAGGGAGATCACGCAGCATGGGGAACCACAGGGTGTCCTAGTAAGAGAGTGCTGTAAAGAACCTACCCAGGATTTAGGCTCTGGTTGAATAACCTGAAGGTGGGTTTCAGGAAGCAGAGGTTTACTCTAGAGTGAATGCCCTCAGAAAGCGAGGCTAATTCTATCATGGGACATCTCAATAAATCTTACATATTGTGGCAGTTGGTGGGGGAGACTAAAATGAGGATAAATCTCTAACTAGTAAAGTAGCATTCCTTCATTTCTCATTTTGGCTGAAGGAGGGTGTTTCAGATTTTCTAAATGGCAAAGTGATCTTGTTTTAGACAAAATCATGAAGTGGACTTGCTTTGTCTTATTTCATCGTAGTCTCAGAGAAACCTACTATCAGATTGTTATTCTGTGGGATTATCTGAATAACATGGCCTAACTGTTGGTGCCAGGCCAGCTTCTGAATATCAGGGGCTGCTCTTTTTTTCATCTTTCTCACTAGCTTAAAAATCTATCATCAGGCTAGGCTTCAAAAAACCTTTAGATGTGGCCGGGCGTGGTGGCTCACGCCTGTAATCCCAGCACTTTGGGAGGCCGAGGCGGGTGGATCACGAGGTCAGGAGATCAAGACCATCCTGGCTAACATGGTGAAACCCCGTCTCTACTAAAAATACAAAAAAAAAAAAAAAAAAAAAAAGTTAGCCGGGCGCCTATAGTCCCAGCTACTCAGGAGGCTGAGGTAGGAGAATGGCATAAACCCGGGAGGCGGAGCTTGCAGTGAGCTGAGATCGCGCCACTGCACTCCAGCCTGCACTCCAGCGACAGAGCGAGACCCCGTCTCAAAAAAAAAACCTTTAGATGCTCACTATTAAAATTTCATCTTTCTTTAAAGAACAAAAATGCTAAATTTAAACAAATGTCACCAGAAACTACAAAATAGGGGTTATAGGCATTTTGCTCAATAGAAGTCACACCTCTTTTGTTTCTTCCAGTATGTTTATTTTAAAGCTGCCTTGATATCTTTTTATTATTTGATCCATGGCATATTGGAACCATAACATACCTTAAAGTTATGATTTTAGAAATTTTAAATCTGATTATTTTCACAGAATGCTTTTAAATTATTTTTAAGCCCCCTGGCTACTATCTTAGTTGACTGATCTGCGAATTAGGAAAAGAGATTTTGGTAACATCAGTGGCTCATCTGAAAGCAGCTATTATTCAAACAGTTATTACTCACCAGCTGAGAGTCTGAGGAAGGAAAAATCTTGAGTTTTGTACTACTTTCTTTGATCTCATTCATCAGATCAGTAAGAGTATAAGTCTGTGCCAAGTTCTAAAAGAAAACAAAATTAAAGTCTTCAGATTCAGTTAAAATATGCCTCTGATTTTATGGAATACACTCTCAAATTTCATCTAGCATAGCAAAAGTGTCTATTTCAAAAAATATTAAGATTTAGTTGAGTACATTTTACATTTAGTAAAGGTCACTATTACCGATAGAGCCATGGTAAAATACACAGAAGACCTTTCAGAAGCCCTGTGTGAAAATAAGGTACATGTATACATATGGTGATGGCCCAAGATAGCGTAAACAAAAGGAAAACAGAGAAATTTCTAGAGGAACATTTAGCAGTCATTTGACAGTCTACAGGTGAGCCAATGACTACATAAATTAAGAGAATCTTTTACATATTACAAAGCTTTCTGATGACTCTTACCTGCATGACTGCATTAAAAAAGCAAGTATTTCCTAAATTTGTAATTCCTCTTACAGATAAATTTCTGCATTTTCCTCCCTTCTGTATTTCATCTGTTTCACATTTTTCTTCACAAAGTTTCATGATTCTAGAAAATGCACCTACAAGTTAGAGAAAAAATAACTGACACAAGATGTAAAGATAAATATGTCACTTAACATAATTTATATACATTATTTAAAATTAAATTTAAATAAGATTATCTCCCTGAATCAGTGTTCCTGAAGGGGAAGAATATAAACACAACTATCTTTGGTTTTATATTTTATTGCTAGAGGAATTAATTTAAACTTTAGTATACAGATCTGCACCTCACACTATATTACAGAATAAATTGCAGATGAATTAAAAAACTAAATGTAAAAGAACAGTCGAGAACAAGTAGAAAAGGTCTAACTTCTAAATACCATTACCCATGAAAAGAAATAAGGACGTCTAGGGGAAAAGGCTGATTCTTAACCCAGGGTAGCAAAGATGCAAAATGAACCCATAACATTTTGCCATGCCAGAGAGTAAGGAAGTGCTCAAAATGTGTGATTGGGAATAAGTCAAAATACACAGGGATTTTGACCAGCTCGTTCAATTCAGATAATTTGATCATAAAAATAAGTAAGGGTAGTATAATAGATTATTATTCACAGAATGAATCTGAATTGGTAACAGATTTTTTAAATGAGAAAAAGTAGGGAAGAGACTTCCTTATAAGAGAATGCCAGCTAATAGAAGAAATGACAGAATTAGGAAAATCACCATCCTATAGTGGCAATTTTTGTATTATTCTTGCAACATTTCTGTGAATTTGAAAATGTTCATATTAAAAGTTTTTTAAAAATAAACAGAACCACACTGTAATACAAAAAGTAAAATACCTAAGTATATGACACATAAGTGCATGTTTTGTGCTTACAGATTTGTATAATTAATGCAGATTTGAAAATTATATTAGGCTGGCCACGGTGCCTCAGGCCTGTAATCCTAGCACTTTGGGAGGCTGAAGCAGGTGGATCACTTGAGGTCAGGAGTTCAAGACCAGCCTGGCCAAGATGGTGAAAGCCCGTCTCTACTAAAAATACAAAAATTAGCTGGGCGTGGTGGTGCGTGCAAGCCTGTAGTCCCAACTACTCAGGAGGTTGAGGCATGAGAATCACTTGAACCTGAGAGGCAGAGGTTGCAGTGAGCTGAGATCATGCCACTGCACTCCAGTCTGGGTGACAGAGTGAGACTCTGTCTCAAAAGAAAAAAAGAAAATTATATTATCAGTTCATGTTTACTAATATGAAAACAAAGAACAATTCCTAACATTTACTGACATGGTTGACTACATGTATTTAGCAGATTACTCTCTGAATCAAAATTATGATAATTTGAAGTTTGATAAGAAATTCCCAAGTTCTGAAATGCTTTAGTTTTAACTAGATGTTCTTTTAAATTCCTTTCAGCCCTCAGATTTTTTCTTTTTTAAAAAACAGTGTCTCACTTTGTAGCCCAGGCTGAAGTGCAGTGGTGCAATCTCAGCTCACTGCAACCTCCGCCTCCCAGGTTCAAGTGATTCTCGTGTCTCAGCCTCCTAAGAAGCTGAGATTACAGGCACCTACTACCACACCCAGCTAATTTTTGTATTTTTTTTCTTTTTTTTTTTTAGTAGAGAAGAGGTTTCACCATGTTGGCCAGGCTGGTCTCAAACTCCTGACCTCAAGTGATCCACCCACCTCGGGCTCCCAAAGTGCTGGAATTACAGGTGTGAGCCACCGTAGCCAGCCAGCCCTTAGATTTTATAGTTCTTTACAATTACATGTTTTTTTCACCTAATACTGACATGCTGCCTTGCATTACTAATTAACTTATAAATATTTGGCTGATTGATGGAAATAGGGGAACATCTCTTACTCTTGCTCTTCCTGCCAAAGGGGTACAGCACTGGGGGGACTGTTCATAATAAAAATTCGAAACACATAAAAATCTGCAAGATTAAACAGCAGAACTAGTGGGTTAGCTTCTTACGTCTCTGACAAGTTCTTAAGAGGAAATAAATTATGACACCTGCCCCACTTCTGTAAACAACATTAAAGGAGATGAACCCGAGTGGGAGTGGCCCTGTTCTAAGGAGCAGGAAGTGCTGGGATTACAGGTGTGAGCCACCGCGCCCAGCAGAAGATGTTTCTTTCATTAAGCAAACCTATTTCATGGAAAAAAGTTTTCTTTAAGTTCTAACAACTTTTATCCTGTGCTACAATAGTTTTTATAAACGCTATTAACTGGTTTCCCCCTATTCCTGTTTTTTTTATTCTTTAAATGTTATTGGTTGTTATTGGAATGTGTTCAGATATTAAGGAGCTATTTTTAACTCCCAACTCCAGAATCCTGAGGTAAAGCAGAAAAGAACTAGCAAGATAGGTCTCTTTTCCTGTCCTCCAAATATTATAATAAATAATAAACCCCACACTAGAGCTTGGGGGCAAAGGCCAGCACAATCAATGAAGTGGGTCACTGAAGTACAAACACCAGGCATGGAAAAAAGAAAAGGGGGAAGAGGCCAGGTAGTTTTCAAATGAATATAAAAGCAAATGAAAAAAGCCAGTCAGTACTTAAGAAGCACTACACAAACAAGAGGAACCCTGATATGGATGCTGGCTGGGTTTACAGACAGAACAGTCTGCTTCTTGTTTATATCTGAGACTGTAAATAGAACCTAGAATAGGATGGGTTCAGACTCTCATTATTGCTGTTGCCAAAAGGTGGTTTCATAGTGATTTTTGAGAGATTTAAGATGAGAGAGAAATTAAATCCAAGCATTACTCAATTTTTTCAGGCTGTTAACTCTGATTTTACATTTATAAAACTCAGTCTCCAACAGGTTAAGTGATATGCCCAAGGTCACAATGATAATCTTCTGATTATAAATTCATTGTCATTTTACCACCTAAATTCTCTTCAGTGATTTATGTACAATGAGAAGAATTATAAAAGACAGTAGGTCAAGATTCTTACAGATTTGGGTATATGCAACCCTAAACAAATATGACTCCTCAAAAATATCTTTTTTTTTTTGGCTTCTTCCAAAACATGAAGCAGACTTAACATTCTTAATAAATGTTGCCACAATATTTTTTAGCTTATTAACATGAAAACAGAATGGCTGGAAGAAATAACCTATAGATAATAACTATATATGTTTTATATACTTATGAAATATATATACACGACGCCTATTGGGCCTGTTTTAAAAAACATTAAAAAATACATATATACACAGACACATTATTCACTTGGGAAAATACTCCTAGAAATAAATTATATTTTAATCTTGCAAAGACACATAACATTTTAAAAACCATAATATGCAAATGTATCTGTGTGCCACATTTATCCAACAGTTTTCAAAACATCTGGGATGGCATCCCAAAGTAAACAATGTTCATAAGACCATCTGGACAAAACTGCAGGCAAAATAAAGCATAAACATATGGAAAAACAGATTTTCCCCCTCCCTTCAGCAGTAAGGGACGACAAATGTCAAACCAAGATATATCCACGCTTCACTGTGTGATGCTTTTCAGCACCACCTGGCTCTCCATGCATAGCCACCAAATATGGACAGCACTGCCAGAAAGAACATACCCACAGGGCAGTGGCAATAAAAAGAGTTTATTTCATGGTTAAATAGCCACTTCACACAAGTGGCCAAGGGTCTGTTTGTTGACTTTTACATGTAAGTCTGTGAGAAAATATTAAAAATTAACTACGCTATCAAACAGATAATTTAACTAGAAAATAGAATTTTTTTTTTTTTTTGAGATAGAGTCTTGCTCTGTCTCCCAGGCTGGAGTGCAGTGGTGTGATCTCAGCTCCACTGCAACCTCCGCCTCCCAGGTACAAGTGATTCTCGTGCCTCAGTCTCCTAAGTAGTTGGGATTACAGGCATGCGCCACCATGCCTAACTTTTTGTATTTTTAGTAGAGATGGGGTTTCATCAAGTTGGCCAGGCTGGTCTCAAACTCCTGACCTCAAGTGATCTGCACGCCTTGGCCTCCCAAAGCACTGGGATTATAGGAGTGAGGCCCCGCACTTGGCCAGAATAACATTTCTAAGAGCTATTTAAGTGTTTTACTTAAAATAAAAGTGTAAGTCTTAAATTTTACTAAGGAGTACATTTACAAAATGTAACAATTTAAATTGATTTATCAATGCCCTTTGTGTATCAGGCACTATATGAACCACTATAACTGTTTACACCTAATTTCTTATTTATGACTGGAGTATAAAGAATTGATACATAGTAAACTAGTAAACAGCAGAGACCTTAGGCCTTAATTTTTTTTTTTTCTTTGAGACGGAGTCTCATTCTGTTGCCCAGGCTGGAGTGCAGTGGCACGATCTTGGCACTGCAACCTCCGCTCCCTGGGTTCAAGCAATTCTTCTGTCTCAGCCTCCCGAGTAACTGGGATTACAGGCACATGCCACCACACCTGGCTAATTTTATATTTTTAGTAGAGATGGGGTTTCACCACGTTGGCCAGGCTGGTCTTGAACTCCTGACTTCAGGTGATCCACCCTCCTTGGCCTCCCAAAGTGCTGGGATTACAAACATGAGCCACCACACTCGGCCAAGCCTTAAATTTATGATAACTGTAATATCTCAGGAAAACGTTTAGACACTAAATATACTTGTTGTGCATGTGTTTACTAAGAAGCTGTCAACTGAGAGTTTACAATTCTAGTTTAAAACAGGGATGTCTGAATCAGTCTCAATTACTTGACATTCATGCAGGTATGTATGTATGTATGTATGTATTTTGAGACGGAGTTTTGCTCTTGTCGCCCAGGCTGGAGTGCAATGGCACAATCTCGGCTCACTGCAACCTCCACCTCCTGGGTTCAAATGATTCTCCTGTCTCAGCCTCCTGAGGAGCTGGGATTACAGGCGTCCACCACTATGTCCAGCTAATTTTTGGTGTTTTTAGTAGAGATGGGGTTTCACCATGTTGTCCAGGCTGGTCTCGAACTCCTGACCTCAGGTGATCCACCTGCCTGGACCTCCCAAAGTGCTGGGATTACAGGCACGAGCCACTGCGCCTGGCCTGTATGTTTTAATAAAAAGCAGCTTATAGCTTCTACTGAAGAACTATTTTGATCATTTTGTTTTCAGAGATAACAAAGCATTTTTCAATCTGGCAGTGCAAACATTTTAGATGATATTAAAAATTCTCTTCTTCCTTTATAAACACAGAACCAAATACAATAAGGAATGAACTTCAAGATGTTTTTAAGTATGATATAAGTAAGAGGACAAAGTTGCTACAACAATAAAGACAAACTATACAAAATTTTTATTATCATTTCTTTTGTTCTCCTAAAGTTTTACCCACACCTACAAAAAAAGTGGTCTGCATAGTCAAAAAGGTAATCACAAAGTTTCCAGGCTAGGTTATTTTATTAAAAGGGATTTATCTCACCTTGGGAAATAAATCAAAACTAATAAAAAATAAAAGCAATTTAATTTACTCTACTTATCACTTCTATATTACTAACACTGTCATCCTTTACATAAAAAGATAATATAGACCTGGAATGCAAAGAACATTGAGAGCACACTTTCGGCACTTTAAAGTTTTTAAAGCTCTTGTACATCTCTGTAGTTTACCTTTAAGCCTATAATCTGAGTCCTCAAAAAGTAGCTGATTGAGGACTGATAGGTTTTGCATGTACCTCAAGTCTTCAAAGACAAAACTGGCTGAAATACCAGCAAAGCAAAAACAAAACAACATAAACAACAAAACAACTTGTCTAAGAACTTTAAAAAAAAAACTTAAGATATTACCTCAAATTTTTCCAGCATAAAAATTACTTCAACACTTAGAGATCCTATAACTATCTTTTTAAAAACTGAGTTCAAGGCTGGGTGTGATGGCTCATGCCTGTAATCCCAGCACTTTGGGAGCCAAGGTGGCAGGATCACTTAAAGTCAGGAGTTCGAGACCAGCCTGGCCAACATGGTGAAACCTCGTCTCTACTAAAAATACAAAAATTAGCTGGGCATGGTGGCGCTTGCCTGTAGTCCAAGCTACTCAGGAGGCTGAGGCAGGAGAATCGTTTGAACCCGGGAGGCAGAGGTTGCAGTGAGCTGAGATCATGCCACTGCACTCCAGACTAGGTGACAGAGTGAGACTGTTTCAAAAAACAAACAAAAAAACTGAGTTCAAGGATATTAAATCATAAACATAAAAAAACTCAAAAGTACCAGCAAATTTTAGGTGAATATCTTTAGAATCTTGGAGAGCAAAGACTTTCAAAGCATGACCCCAAAGGCTAAAAACAGAAAAGACTAATGACCTGGCAACAATGACATTAAAAGCTTCATTATGGCAAAACTGAACTATAAACAAAGTTAAATATGGAATTATGGGCACTATTGTCAACTATACCCTTTGTACAAGCTTTCTTGAGGGCAGTTTTACAACAGTAATCAAAATTTATACTTTGGCCAAGAAATTCCAAAAAAATTTCACCTACAAAATAAAAGAGCAAGTATACAAAGATACAGCTTTGTTTATCACAGGAGAAAATTGAAAACAACCAATAGTGGGTTTGTTGTGAAGTAATACTAAATTGGTGTCTTTCTTTTCCCAAAGGTGTATTTGTGAATTGCCTTGGTTAAACCAAAAGTGGGGAACACTGGTTCTTCCCTTTCTTCCCATAGGCAAGGGAGAAGTGAACTTATTTTGCATTTAGAGTCGGATAGTTTGAGAGTGTATCTCCCTTAAATTGTCACCTCTGATAACTGTCCCCATTTTAGAACTGAAGCATTTCAAAGATGAAACTGAGGTATACTGCTGGTTAGTGTTGAGGGAAGATTCAAACCCGGGCAGTCTAGCTTCAGAATTCACACACTTAAACATTATCTACTGTCTGTTATAATAAAGATGATGCAATTTATAAGTGTGATAGTAGTTTAAGACACTAACAAAATGCCAGTGGTGATATGAATAGCAAAGCCATTACTCTTAAGTAAAAGCTGTATGTAATCCATTGCTGCACATGTTTTGTGTTTGGATTTATAGCTTTTTTAGTCATAGTTTGTAGCAGTCCTTCTCAAATGATTCCTTAAAAAATTAACACCCTAACATCCTAGGTACCCACTGCATGCAATTAACATCTCCCTATGTATCTGGAAGGATACTAGTTATGTGACATCTTTGGGAAAACTGAGAAAATAGTCACTCTAATAATTTTACTGTGTTTTGTAGTATCGATGAGGAACCCCAAATTAAAAACCCTATATGTAAAAATAGGTTGTTTTTAAAATGTCATTATCTTTTTGAACCTAGCCCCTTGTATACACTGAAACAACGATTTTTAGTGCTTATTTTTGAAAATGCAAATTTCTTAGAAACATGACTGTCACTTTAGAGAACTGTATTACCTCTTAAAAAAACAGACAAAAATAAATAGAGATAGGGTCATGTTATGTTGTCTATGCTCGTCCTGAAGAACTGGTCTCAAGCAATCTTCCCACCTTAGCCTCCCAAAGTGCTGGGATTACAGGCATGAGCCATACATGTGCCCAGCATGTATCACCTTTTTTTTTAAAGTATTAAATAGTAATCAAATTGTTACTGAAACAGGTCATAATATTATACTCAGATGGAGTTTCAGATCCCAAACATACCACCACTTACTTTCTTATTTAAAAAAAAAAAGATACAGCAAACTCATACTTCATAAAACCCACATAATTCATGTCTATTGTAAACCAGGAGCATGAGCTTAATAAATTCAGCAGGATATAGTATTTTGTCTTCTCTTTAACCTTGTTAAAAATGGCATCCCATCAATATTAAAATTATGAGCCAAATGCATTGGTTTAGAAAAGAACATGGGATTGTCAGTCATCTATTTCACAAAAAATAAACCAATATTCAACTACATGATTTTACCAGGAATTCCTAGATTCTCTAAATATTTGTAGAACACTTCATGACATTTAAAAGACTATTAAAGTGAGAAATCTCTGAGACTTTCAGAGGACAATGGCCCACTTTAAAAAAAAAAATTTTTTTTCAAGCAGGTTTTAGGTTCACAGCAAAACTGAGCATACGTTAATGGGGATTTTCCATATCCCCCCTACCCCAACACATGCATAGCCTCCATTATCAACATCCCCCACCAGAATGCTTCATTTATTGTAACTGATGAACCTGCACTGACACATCATTATCACCTAAAGTTCCTAGTTTACATCAGGGTTCACTCTTGGCAGTGTACATTCTATGGATTTGGACAGATGCAGAATGACATGGATCCAGCATTATAGTATCATACAGAGTAGTTTTATTGCCCTAAAAAATTCTCTGTGCTTTGCCTATTCACCCCTTCTTCCCCTCAACCCCTTTCAACCACTGATTTTTTTTTTACTGTCTCCAGTTTTCTGGTCTACTTTTTAACAATACCTATTTCTGGGTGGGACTCACAAAAATGCTTATTTGCCCATTTTCAGTCTTGCATTATATATGACCTTTTTATTCCATGTATGGGGAAGGGGGAGGTAGAGGGAGTTTTGTTTCTATAAGCAAATCCTAACATCAGATGTGAAATCTACACAGCTGTAAGCATTCTTCTGGGAACCTGAGCTGGGGTTCATCTCAACTGCTTAATGCAATTACCTAAACCAGTCATGTAGTATTAATGTAATCTGCCCATTTCTACAGCTGAAAAGAAGTTTAATATTTAAAGAGTGAGTAAAAAGAGACAACTTGGTGCCCCACAATTCCCCTAGCTTGGAACCAAATAATAATTAGCTTGCCAGTTTACTCTCAAAATCGACTAACTTCCAGTTAACCATTATGCCTTAGAAATCTTTACTTAGTCATATGATAAATTGATATTAACATAATAAATGGGCAGTTATACATATATAGGCATTCCTATCTGTCTCCATACAAGTCAAACTGAGATCTACAAAATCACTGATCAGCCACTTCTCTGCTTAAAACTTAACAGTGGTTCCTCACTGCCCTCAGAACAAATTCTATCTGTACAAGGCCCTTAAATATCTGTTCTTACTTACCTCAAGTCTCACCTCTCACCATCTTCTACACCACAAAACTCAACTTTTCAGCTGTCTAGACTTGCCTGAACCTATCGAGCTCTCGTCAATGAGCTATTTTCTTTGCCTGGAACACACAATCTGTTCCCTTTTTGCCCAGATAATTTCTAGATATTCTTCTGCTTCCAACTAAGTCGGATTATTCTTCTAAATAGAATTGGCCTGACTCCTCCAGTCGAATGTTAGGTACTATTCCAAATTGTTCTCACGGTCCCTCGTACTTGCTCCATCACAGCACTATTTAAACAGGCAAGTATAACTAAGTGCAATTTGTCTATATCCCTCAATAGACCAAAAGATCAGTAATGACAGGAACTAGAAGTAGATCTGTCTCATTCACTACTGCATCTCCAACATCTAATGCAGCATCTGGTACAAAGCAGAAACTCAGAGATATTAAAAGACTGAATAAATAATTTTGATATTAATATTTAGGATTTTGGAGGGTGAAAGTGCAAAGCTTATCTATCTACTTCCTCAACAAAAACTGGTCACATTCTATTTGGTTTATTCAGCAAGTATTTACTGTCTACCCACATAAAAATCAAAAAGAATATAATCCAGAGTCCAGTCTTAAGGAACCTACAGTCTTGAGAGAAAATAAGACATGTACAAACATAAATATGAAACATCAAAAAAGTGTGTTATTAGATTCTAAAGTGTGCTGCACAGACACTGAGTGCCAAAAAAGAGATAAGGATTGGGAAAGCATCCTAGAAGTAGGATTTGAGCTGAGCCTTAATGGATAAGTAAGGCTGAAGACAGAAAATATAAAGACAAATGTGCTACAGTTCAGCACTTCTCAAAGTGGGTCAGAAGACAACTTCCTTCTTTCAAGGGTACTTAAGGTCAAAAGTATTTTCATAATAAGCCTAAGATTTTATTTGCTTTTTTTACTTTCATTCACTCTCAATTATACAATGCCGTTCTCCAGAGGCCATATGGCATGTGATATCACAAAGGATTAAATGCAGAAGCAGATATGAGAATCCAGCTGTTTTCTACTAAGCCAGACACTTAAGAGTCTTATAAAAATGCAAGACAGTGCCACTCATTATATTTTTGTTTTGAAAGTTATCTTTTCTACAAATGTTATTTGTGTTAACATGGCATAGTATTTATTTCATTTTTATTTTTAGAGCCAAGTCTCGTTGTGTTGCCCAGGATGGTCTCAAACTCCTGGACTCAAGTGATCTGCCTGCCTCAGCCTCCCAAAGTGCTCTGATTACAGGAGTGAGCCACCCATATACTATATGATTTTAGGATAGTGATGCCTAAAAGTAAAGGAATAAAGAAACAAAAGAATTAATGACATGCTTTAAAGAGAAAGAAAATTTCTGGTCATGCATAACTTCAAAATGTGTTTAACATACAGGCACAGGCTTTCTTCTCAATAACTATTTTTACTTAGTACAAAAATATAAAAATAACCTTTTAAAATCATACTTATCCTCTCACCCAAACACAATAATACAGTTTCATATTCCTTTTATCATAAATAGGTGTTTTCACAATGTTTCACGATTACCATTTAGTGCAAAATCATATCCGGCATTCTTACAAACCTCAATAAAAACTTTCATATTTGATTTTCCAAATATTTTATAAAAATATACGGAAGCCGCATACAAGGCACAATATGGCAAACTATTATATCCAAAAACTTATTCTAGAATGCCAAGGAATATTATTTTAAATCAAACTTGCCTGAGAGATCCTGTAGCTTGACCCACAGGGATAATGACATCTTGCCCTAGAACTGCCAAAAGCCTTAAACTAACAACTATGTATCTCTCAAACTTTGAAAGCTCCACTCCCTCTCAAACTACCTCAAAAGCCCGTGCCCCACCACTCCAGGTGCTATTCACGGTTCCATAAACACAATTAAGGCTTATATTAGTGCTTCCCACCACCTGAAATGATTTCTTCTCTCATCTTCACCTGCCCAAAGTTCATCCTTTAAGGGTCAGCTTGAAAGCCGGCTCATCCATGATTCCTTTTTAGTTCCTACAACTGAACATTATATCCCTCTTTGGATATTTGAAGGACTTTGGTTGTTACCTAAAACAGAAATCTTACTCTACTTGCATATCATTACTGTTTAATCTTACACCTTCTTTCAGATCTTTAGCCTCTTAAAGATTTAGTGACTGTCTTATCAATCTCTATTCCCTGAAGCACCTTGGAAATATAAAGTACTAAGGAAAAATGAGGCTTGCATAAACAGATTACTGCCTGGGGTCACACACCTAGTGACAGAGTCAAATCTGAACACCAGACCCCCTGACTCAAAGCCATCTACTGTCTTTTTTTCTTTTTTTTGAGACAGTCTCACTCTGTCGCCCAGGCTGGCATGCAGTGGTGTGATCTCGGCTTACTGCAGCCTCCGCCTCCCGGGTTCAAACAATTCTCATGCCTCAGCCTCCTGAGTAGCTGGCGTTACAGGAATGTGCCACTATGCTCAGCTAATTTTTGTATTTTTAGTAGAGTTGGGGTTTCACCATGTTGGCCAGGCTGGTCTCGATTCCTGGCCTCAAGTGATCTGCCCGACTTGGGCTCCCAAAGTGCTGGGTTTAAGGCCTGAGCCACCGTGCCCAACCTCAAAGCCATGTACTTTCCATCATACCGTCCATGCTCCCTTCCTAGCATCTTTCTTATAATACTTATTCAAGAAATCAGTAAAATTGAATGAAAATCAGACTGGCTTTGTACTTAACCTTAGGGAATCTCTAAGGTAAAAAAAAAATCCAGAGAAAATAATTTCTAAACTTGTACTTTCATCACCCATGCCATCATATCCCTGCCTATCTTCTTATTATGGCCAATGAAACTTAATGCTCATTTTTCAGCAGACAGAATTATGACCAACTTCAGTTCCAGTAGTGTTACAAGTCTTTCACCACCATATTTTCCTGGTTCTTTATTTGAGCAGAATTGGAGCTACGACTAGTATGCCTGCTGCAGAACAGAATTCAATAAATGTTTGTTGAATAAGTAAATGATAAGTGATCAAATGAATCACTTCTACTGCTGTCCAGGAGCCTGAGTTTACCTTCTCTGGTTCCTCCTCCAGTTCCTTCACCATTACTGTCTCATTAGGGTGATGGCTAACAAAAACAGCTGTACACTGGGCTATAGAAAACACAGTTGGCAACTATATTTTTATATAGCTTTTCAGTTTCTGATGCCACCTACTAAGCAATTCAATTCTGCTTCAAAGGCAACTCAAAATTATCACGTCCATTCACCTAGCTGTTCAGTAAAAATCCTGAGGTTTGTATTAATACTTAATTCCTCCCACTCTCCCTCCCTCACTACATGTAATCCACTCACTCCCCATGAGTATCTATCAGCCTCTCACCTGCCCCCCCACAATCACCTCCTTAACCCTCTTCATGATCTCCCCACCCCCATGCTTAACTCCCTACAATCTGTGTGCCACATAGCAATCACTTATCTTTATTTTTTTAAAAAAATATGAAATTACCGTGATACCCCCCTGCTTAAAATACTTTAGTAATTTCTATTACACTTCCAAAAAAATAAAAATTCCTTACCATGGAGTTCATTACAGTATCTGTCATGACCAGCTCATCTACCTCGTAACTTCATCTCTTTGCACTCTCTCCTAACAAACCACGTTTCTGCAATATTAGCCTTTCTTGATCACTGTGACTACTATATTATTAGCCAGCACGGCAATCTGTTCCTTTCTTTTGTAGCACTTACCAGAAGTCATTATATATTTGCATTTTTTGCTTGTTGCTCCCACTATAATCTAACGCCTAGAGGGCAAGATAAAACTATTTTTGTTTTACTCTAATACTACAGACCAAATAAAATTTAATACCTGGCATGTGGGAAGCACTTACTATTTTTGGAGGAAGAAACTATTATCCTATACACTCTTAACATACGTTATGTATTATTTATTTGTTAGGTAACAAAGTATACAATAACAAAATACATAATACATTACTGTTATATAATAAAGGATCTGGCTGGCTTTTCTCCCCAGGTTCCTGGGAAGTACCCTCTAAATCCTCGGAATTTCCAGAGCGACAAGAGTGTCTGTTATTCATGATGGGTCCCTCAGGCCACATTTGACAGTTTATATCAACAAACTGACTCACTGTGGGCCCCTAGACAGTTTATGCTGAAGAGATGAATCAGGATGGGGCCTGGCCCTGCCAGAAAGACCAACCATGTGATTAGAATGTTGGGGGCCTAGAGACTGAGTTAAATCAATATGGCCAATGATTCAATCAATCATGCCTACACAATGAAATCCCAATAAAACTCTCCACACCAAAACTCCAGTGAGCTTCCTTGGTTACCAATACTCTTGTGTATATTAGTGCACACGAATGCATGGGCTGGGGAGAGTGAGGAGAATGCATCCTCATTCCCTCTGGAGTGGACACAGAAGCTTCACATTTGGGACCCTCCCCAGACTTTGCCCTATGCATCTCTTCCTTTGGCTGTTTTGTATCCTTTTTTGCTATATTAAAACTATAATTGTTAGTACAGCACTTTCCTGAGTTCTCTGACTCATTCTAGCAAATTATCACTGAACCTGAAGAAATGGTAGGAACCCCCAAATTTGTGGACAGTTGGTCAGAAATTCAGTGGTCTAGGAACCCTCAAGCCTGCAGCTAGTTTCTGATGTGAGGGCAGTCCTGTGGGCAACTGTGCCCTTAGCCTGTGAAGTCTGGCCTAACTCCCAGTAGTTAGTGTCAGAACTACACTGCAATTATGTAACAAATAACAGACACCATTTCATACATATGTGTCAAGTACTGATATGGTTTGGATCTGTGTCCACACCCAAATCTCATGTCGAGTTGTAATCGCCAATGTTGGAGGAGGGGCCTGATGGGAAGTGACTGGATCATGGGAGTGGGCTTCTCACGAATGGTTTAGCTCCATCACTTTGGTGCTGTTCTCATGATAGTCAGTGTGTTCTCACAAGATCTAGTTGTTCAAAAGTGTGTACTACCTCCTCGTCTATCTTTTCCTCCTGTTCCACCATGTAAGACGTGCCTGCTTCCCCTTCACCTTCCACCATGATTGAAAGTTTCCTGAGGCCTCCCCAGAAGCTGAGCTGATGACAGCAGCAGGCTTCCTGCACAACATGTGGAACTGTGAGCCAATTAAACCTCTTTTCTTTATAAATTACCCAATCTCGGGTATTTATAGAAATACAAGAAAAGACTAATACAGGTACTATGCAAGTATTTTTACATGCACTATTGCTAAATCTTTAGAAAATATTATCTCTAGGCCTCACAGTAACTCCATAAGACAGAATTATCATCCTAATTTTATAAATAAGTAAACTAAGCAATAAAAGTGACCATGGCCAGTAAGTGGGGAAGCCTAAATTCAAACTTATCAGGACTGACTTCAAAGCCCATGGTCTAGACACGACATACTTCAGTTTCTCAAATTGGTTATATAAACGTATAACAAGGTGGCCACCTAAGAATGCATGATACTCATAATTTTTTTTTTTTTTTCTTGAGACGGGGTCTTGCTCTGTTGCCTAGACTGGAGTGCAGTGGCATGTTCTTGGCTCACTGCAACCTCCGCCTCCCCTCCCAGGTTCAAGCGATTCTCCTGTCTCAGCCTCCCGAGTAGCTGGGATTACAGGCATGTGCTACCGTACCCGGCTAATTTTTGTATTCTTAGTAGAGACGGGGTTTCACCATGTTGGCCAGGCTGCTCTCAAACCCTTGACCTCATGATCCACCCACCTTGGCCTCCCAAAATGCTGGGATTACAGGCATGAGCCACTGCACCCAGCCGATACTCATAATATCTTTATTCAAATTATTGGCTGGGCTGTCACAGTAAAATCTAAAGTATTCTTTATGAATTTATGAACTCTATATGAAATACTGTATTTTAACACAGATTCCTTTAGTCATCGCTTAACTTACTTGTTTGTGTTTTAGAAGCATGTTTCTGGAGAAAATCAACTATCTGAGCCAAAACCTTCTTATTACAATGCGTTGATAATTTTTCATCACATTCATAACACCTGAAAAAGTATAAAATTTAAGAAAATATTATGAAAATATTCTCAATAATTTTGCACATCAGATAACAAAGTTGGTATTTAGTTACTTTTGTCTTTAAATTACATGGGAGGGAATACAAAGGGGAAGCCACCAGGTAAGTCTAGAGAAATAAGCAGAGGACAATTCATACAGAGACTTACAGTTGAAATGAAAGTTTTGGCAGTTTATCTTAGGTATAATGAAATGCCACGAGAGGGTTTTTAAGCAGGGCCATGATATGGTCCAACTTACACTTTATTTATTTTTTATTTTTGAGACAGAGTCTCGCTCTGTTTCCCAGGCTGGAGTGCAGCTGTGCAATCTCAGCTCACTGCAGCCTCTGCCTCCAGGGTTCAAGTGACTCTCCTGCCTCAGCCACCCAGTAGCTGGGATTACAGGCATGCACCACTACGCCCAGCTAATTTTTGTATTTTTATTAGAGATGGGGTTTCACCATGTTGGTCAGACTGGTCTCGAATGCCTGACCTCAAGTGATCCACCCGCCTCGGCCTCCCAAAGTATTGGGATTACCGGTGTGAGCTACCACACCCAGCCCCAACTTACACTTTAAAAACATCACTCTCACTAATGTGATAAACTAGATTGGAGGGATTGGAGGGCATTAGGAAGAGAAACAGATTAGTATAGTAGCAGAGGATCTGGAGAGAAATGGGCATTCTTTATATACATATTTGCAGGTAGAAACAGTAACAAATTAGATATAAAAGAGGAGGGAAAGGGAAGTGTCAAAATAACTGCCATGGGTAGGGAGAAGTGAGTGAGACAATGTCAGCGATTCTCAATGTTGTTGAGAATCACTGATATTCTCAATGAGGAGTGATTTTGCCACCTAGGGGACATTTGACAGTTTTGGTTCTGACAACTGGTGAGAGGTGAGAGGACCACTACTTGTATTTAAGTGGGTAGAGGCCAGGGATGCTGGTAAACATCCAACAACGTACAGAACAGCACAGCAAGGAATTAATCACAGAACATTAACAGTCCAAATGCCAATAGTATTGAGATTGAGAAATCCTGGCCTAGACGAAACAAGACTTGCTGTGAGTTGATAATGTTTAAAGCTGGAAAAACAACAACAACAACAACTGAAGCTGGTTGATGGGTATAGGTAAATTCATTATACCACTCTGTCTACTTTTGTTAACAGGCTAAAAAATAAAATAAGATAAAAAGGGGGAAGGAAATAACTGCCAGGCTTCTAGCTTGATTACATATAGAGATAGGTAAGACTCAAAGAAATAGCTGTTCTATTTTGCTTGGCGCTTATTTGGAGGCAGAGGGTTAGGAAAGACATTTTCAAAAGCACATTCCAATTCAGAAAACTACCCTCAATTAAGTTTACTCATTAATACATCGTATTAATTTGTTTCTTCTGTATATTATAATTACCTGTTTCCTTTATCCTCATGAGATCCAGTGATCATTTAAGAACATGTGTTGGAAAGTGTTCAAAGTGTTTTATAAATGTAATGCATTATGGCCGGGTGTAGTGGCTCACAACTGTAATCCCAGCAGTTTGGGAGGCCAAGGCGGGAGGATCACTTGAGGTTGGGAGTTCGAGACTGGCCTGGCCAATATGGTGAAATACCAACTCTACTAAAAATACAAAAATTAGCAGGGCGTGGTGGCGGGCACCTGTAATTCCAGCTACTCCCAGCCCAGGAGGCAGAGGTTGCAGTGAGCCGAGATCACGCCACTGCACTCCAGCCTGGGTGACAGAGTGAGATTCCATCTCAAAAAAAAAAAAAAAAAAAACATAATGCATTACACCAATGCTACATTACATGTTCACAATCTTCTTACCCACCTTTTTCTAATTCAGTAATTCTTAAACTGTGGTCTACAGACCAGCAGCACTGGCAACACTTGGGAGCTTGTTAAATGCAAATTCTCTGGCTCCTCCACCCCAGAACTACTAAATTAGAATTTCTAAGACTGGGATCCTGCAATCTGTCATAACAAGATCTCCCTGAGATTCTGATGCACCTAGAGTTTGAGACCACTAAAGTGAAATCCTTATTGAACTGCCACACTATGGCACCATTGCTGTCTCCATTGGTTCCAATGCATCATTTATATATTAAGTTCCCTCTGTTCTTTCGTCATTCTCCCCAGTACTACTACTTGGGACTCACAACAACAAATAAAAACACAAATGCAGCTGGTGCCCAACCCTTCTGGCTGTATTAAAGATGATGACCTCTTCTGTGAGCCAAAATACCCTTATATTAATTTTAGACAAAATATTTTTATGTTAAAGAAAATCTGAGACTCCTGAAAATTCATTCAAGGAACCCTTAGGAGTCCATAGATTCAAGTTGGAAAATTATTGTAAAACACAGAGGAAGCATTTCAACATAGTGTCCATTTATACTACCAAAACAGTGTGATATGCTAATAAGAAACTAGAAAATAAAAAAACTTGTTTTTGGTTTTTTTGAAACGGAGTGTCACTCTATCACCCAGGCTGGAGTGCAGTGGCAACCTCCATCTCCCAGGTTCAAGCGATTCTCCTGCCTCAACCTCCTGAGCAGCTGGGACTACAGGCGTGCGCCACCATGCCCAGCTAATTTTTGTATCTTTCGTAGAGACGGGGTTTCACCATATTGGCCAGGCTGGTCTCAAACTGCTGACCTCAAGTGATCCGCCCACCTCAGCCTCCCTAAGTGCTGGAATTACAGGTGTGAGCCATCACGCCCCACAAAAAACTTGTTTTAGTACCTGGATTTTTACTTCATAACCACAAAAAGGTAAATATTACATAGTTTCCTTACAGGTAACATAGGAAACTGGACTAGATTCTCAACCAGGATTAAACAGCAGAATGACCTGAAAAGTTTTTACAAGCTACTTATGCCCAGCTCTTCCCTCTCCCTTCAGAAAATGACCTGACTGCTTGAAGTATCTTCCTTCTCTACAACACTAGAATTCTGTATTAGCAAGTTCACTACCAAAAAAATCAACTAAAAAGAATTTTTCTTTACATTATACAAGGAAAATGATAGAGAAAAGTAGAAAGGCTGGGCGCAGTGGCTCACGCCTGTAATCCTAGCACTTGGGGAGGCCAAGGAGGGCATATTGCCTGAGCTCAGGAGTTCAAAGACCAGCCTGGGCAACATGGTGAAACCCTGTCTCTACTAAAATACATAAAATTAGGCAGGCATGGCGGCATGCGCCTGTGGTCCCAGCTACTCAGGAGGCTGAGGCAGGAGAATTGCTTCAACCCACGAGGCAGAGATTGCAGGGAGCTGAGATCACGCCACTGCACTCCAGCCTTGGCGACAGAGTGAGACTCTGTCTCAACAACAACAAAAAGTAGAGAGATAGTTAAAATTTTTCCAATTTAAATTTTATATTCACAGGTAATATTAATTTTCTTGAAGTATCCCATAGATTGTGTTCAGGTTAAAAAACCATAAGCTGATAGAACATCTTTAAATATTTTACCTTAAAAGCTTAAAGAAAAAAAAAAATTGGGGGGCTGTGGTTAGTGGACACAAGAACTAACAAAATTTAACTTACCATATAATCCATGTGCTCAGATTAATTATAATACAATGGGGCTCTGTTCTGGAACTCTTAAAGTGCTTCAATGAATGTTGGCTTTCTGAGTTTTTACCACATCCCTGAAGATGAACAGAATTTTATTTTGTATGACTTACAAATGTTTGTTTCAAATTAATCAAAACTTAAATTATACTCACACTTATACTGAAAAGTTTTGTTTTTAATTTCAGGCCAGAGGAGAAAGTTTCAAAAAAGTAATATGGATTCTCATTAAATTTAATTTCTTGCCAACAGGCTAACATGCTCAATATACAGTATTTACCTAAAACAATCATGGGCAAAGTTAATTTCCCTATCATTTAAAAATGTGCACACTGTGGAACACCCAGCATCCTGGCAGGCCAGTGGTGCCCTTCTGCAAACACACATTTCCCAATCCCGTACACAACTTCACCCCAGCCTACTGAGAACTACTGAGACACAGACCAATCATAGCGATTTCCCTCACTAGGTAAGTAAAGAAATGAGATGCAATTCTGGTTAATGCAACATGAGGGGAAGTCAAATCCGCTGAATCTTTCCAGAAGGCTTTTTTTTTGTTTGTTTTTTAAGAGGAACACAACCATGAGGTTGAGGATGGCACAGCAGAAAACAGAATAAACCTCAGTTTTTAATGTTCTTTCCATTAAATTAACTAATCCTGAAGTGGCCTTACTTCTGGACATTTTGTGTGAAATAATAAAGATTTCTCTTATTTTTTTAAAAAAGTATATACTTTTAATTTCATTAAAAAAATTCCTTTATTACAGATATCAATAACTTTTAAACTTTAAGATTTTAAATTACTTTGCAAAAGCAGCAGAATAATCTGTTTTGAGAGAGAAAAAAATTAATCTGAAAGGTAGATCCATTTCCTAAGTAAATACAAAAGGTAAAGACTGGTCCAGATATGGGAACTACTGCAAATAGGTTGAATTACCTCTGCAAGTATTTATAAACCACACCTGATTACTTTCTGAACATAGCATACCTTTTACTTTACCTTAACAATCATTTTTAAGTTCATTCCTGGAAAATTTCTATCTAAATTGGAATAAATTTATCTTAACTCCTATGCATGACCAACAGTCCAACTCACAATAAGCATTTAAGGAAAACATTTCAGACAAACTCACATATAAATAATACTTTTCTTACCTGGAAGCCACACTTGAGGCACAACCAAATATCAGAAGTAAGTACTAGCTGCCCATCATAGAATCTTCTTTCTTTTAAACATTCTGAGCAAACTGACCACAGATTCTCAGCTATTGCTCTCTTTACATGATTCACGCTGATAGCATGACTTACATGTTGGCAAGTTAAACCTACTGAATAAGATAAAACAAAATCTCAACATTTTCTTTGCTACACCAAAGTGCTACCATTACTGAGCAAACCTCAAAAGTATTAAATGCTGTTAACTAAAAAGCACAGAGATTGAACACACAAAATAACTCAAAAGATATATGCTATATAATTCCATTTATATAATGTTCATGAAATAACATAATTATAGAATGAGAAGAGATTCATGGTTGTAGGGAGCAATGGACGCAAGGCAGAGGGTGTTGCTATAAATGGACAGCACATAGAGTGGTGATGACACAGTCAAGTATCTTGATTGGTGGTGGTTATACAAAGCTATACATGTACTAAAATGGGATGATGTTTCGATAGCCAGTTTGCTGCACTGAAGGATGTCTGAATTATCTCTTTAAATATCATTAGGACCTTATCTGATGTCCCTAATTTATTAGAGTTTAAATTTTTGAACTAATTTTAGATTCACAGGAAGGTATAAAGAAATATACAAGGAGGTCTCATTCACCCTTCACTGAGCCTCCCCTGATGTTAATGTTTTGCACTGCTATAGTAAAATATCAAAACCAGGAAGCTGACGTTGGTACAATCCTTAGAACTTATTCGGATTTCAGAAGACATAGGCACTCATATGTGAGTGTGTTTGTGTATAGCTGTATGCAACTATGCATACCTAAAATGGAAAAAATATATTAAAAATATCCCTTTAAATGGAGAGAACTAGCAAGAAAGTGAGGAAAATCCTCAGAGGCCCAAATCAAAAGCATGAGGCTAAAGAGAAAACCAAGCCCTGAGGCCAGCAGCTCCCAAAAGCCATCTGCCAAGCTCTGGTGGCTTGGTGACATGGTTTTAATAGGCCATGAGAAAGAGACCAAAAAAAAAAAAAAAGCCAATCTAAGTTACTTCATGTTATAAACTAAACAAAATCCTAATAAAAATGCCAACAGGATTTTTTGGAACTAGAAAAGGTGATTCTAATATTTATGCAGAAAACAGTAAAAATAAAGAGTAACAGATTTCTTAATTAAAAACATATACAGTCTTCCCTCAGATACTTGAGGCAGGGAGGTGGGGTGGGGTAGTTGGTTCTAGGACCTCCCCACATATACCCAAATCTGTGCATACTCAAGTCCCGCAGTGGGCCCCGTGGAATCTGCATTTAGAAGTCAGCCTGCCAAGTATGCAGTTTTCACGCATCCCAAGAATAGTGTATTTTCCATCTAGGTTTGGTGGAAAAAAATTTGTGTACAAGTTGATCCTCAGCGTTCAAACCCATGTTGTTGAAGGGTCAACTGCATTGTTATTTCTTCTCAACACTATTTGGGATGCCATATATCACAATTTACCAGCAATATCATCTGAAGAGTCTTCATCATGAGGTACAGTAGGCCTTTTACTTCTTTTGGCTTTCTCAGGTAAAGCTTTAGTTGGATCTTTCACCCGCATCTGTTATTTACTGAAGGGATTGAGGGAAAAAAATTCATACATTTTAGTCTTCAAAATTAAAATTTTATATTTTATTTAATGTGTATTAAAACTGAAATGACTTCAATTTCAACTGGTCCGGGAAATCAACAGAGGAAGAAGAGGGGAACATCACTTGAAATGAAATAAATCTTTGTTAAATCAGTATACACATGGTATATTCCATTGGCTTTTGCCAACTATACCATTATGGACTAAATGTTTGTGTCCCCACTCCAAATTGATATGTTGAACTCTAATCCCCAAAGTGATGATACTTGGAGGTGAAGCCTTTGAGAGGTAATTAGGTCATGTAGGTGGAGCCCTCATGAATGAGACTGGCCTCTTATAATAAGAGGCTAGAAAGCTACCTTTGTATCCACATGAGGATATACGAGAAGATGGCCATCTATAAACCAGGAAGAAGGCCCTCACCAGATACTAGATTTGCCAGCATCTTGACCCTGTACTTCCCAGCTCCCAGTATTGTGAGAAATAAGTCTGTGTTGTTTAAACCACCCAGTCTATAATAATTTGCTATACCAGGCTGAACCAAGACACAACCCCTAAATATATGATGTCCAGGTGAATGACCAAAACTAAAGTTTTCATCAACGGAGTAAGTATTGCTTCTGGATAATGAGTTCTCTTTACCCTTTCCTCCCTTCTGCTAGCAAGGAAATAGTAGGAGCTGGATGAGCCATACTGGATCAAAAATGGATAGCTGTAAGCCAAGCATAGTAAAGCCACTCTATACCTGTGTTGTACAACTAGCACTGGAATATTAAGAGAAAATTAAATTTCTATCTTTTTAAGCTACTACATTTTTGGGGGTTTTTCACTCTAGCTTTTTATCATGAAAAATTTTAAACATCTACAAAAGTTAAAAGAACAGTATAATGAACACTCATATACTAATTAGATTCCACATTTATATTATTATTACTATTATTATTATTATTATTATTTTGAGATGGATCTCGGCTCACTGCAACCTCCACGTCCTGGGTTCAAGCAATTCTCCTGCCTCAGCCTCCCAAGTAGCTGGGATTACAGGCGTGTGCCACCAGGCTTGGCTAATTTTTTTTGCATTTTTAGTAGAGATAGGGTTTCACTGTGTTAGTCAGAATGGTCTCGATCTCCTGACCTCGTGATCCGCCCACCTCAGTCTCCCAAAGTGCTGGGATTACAGGCGTGAGCCACCGTGCCCGGCTATTATTATTTTTTGAGACAAAGTCTCACTCTGATGGCCCAGGCTGGAGTGCAGTGGCCTGATTTCAGCTCACTGCAGCCTCAACCTCCCCAGGCTCAGGTGATACGCCCACCTCAGCCTCCCAAGTAGCTAGGACTACAGGTGCACACCACAATGCCCAGATAATTTTTTTGTATTTCTTAGTAGAGATGGGATTTCCCCATGTTGCCCAGGCTGGTCTCGAACTCCTGGGCTCAAGCAATCCACATGCCTTGGCTTCCCAAACTGCTGGGATTACAGGTATGAGCCATGGTGCCCCACCAATTCCACACCTATTAACAATTAGCTATGTTTGTTTTTATCTAAATATCAATATGTGTGTATAGAGAGACACATATATGTATGTGAGTGTGTGTATATATATATATATATATATATATATATATATATATATATACACATAGTTGAACTATTTGAAAGTTGTAGAGATCTTGACAGTTCATCCCTAAATACTTCAGCATGTATCTCTTAAAAATAAGCACATTCTCCTATATAACAATGTAATCATATCTAAGAAAATTAATAATTTTCTAATATCATCTCATATTCCATCATATTCTAATTTCCTTAGTTGACCCTAAATTGTCTTCTATAGCTGGTTTTTTGAAAAAGATTCAATCAAGGTTTGCACTTGATATTGGTTATGTCTCTTTAGTATCTTTTAATCTATTAACAGAACAGTTCTTCCAACCTGTTACTTGCCTAAGACTTTAGCTTTTTAAAGAGATCAGGCCAGTGCATGAGTCACCTTGAGGGTCTTGTTAAAATGAAAGTTCTGATGCAACAAGTCTGGCACAAGACCTGAGATTCTACCTACCTAAAAAGCTTCTAACTGAAGCCACTGCTGGGGGCCCATAGAATACTCTTTCGACAGCAAAGTTATATAATGTCTCACACTGAATTTGTCTCTTTCTTCATAGTGTTATTTACCTCTATCCCTTATATTTATTAAAAATTCAGTTAATTATCAAAGATTTTAGATACAAGCTAAGCATTTTTTAAAACTACTATATTTTGGAGTCTCTGTTAGAGTAGCTTGGCCTACCTTTTACTCTCCTGCCTGGTGGCTAAGCAACATCGCAATTTTCATGGTTGCTGACTTACTTCTCAATGATCAAGGTAATGAATCTTTCAATTCAGTACTAAATTCCAAATCTTGATTTATTCATTCCATAATTCACAATAAGGGAGCTTTCAAGTTTACCATTAAGTCCAACGGTCATCACTACTGAACTAAGTTGCAATAAATTAAGGGCTTCCGGGTTAGGAACATGTAAAAAGCCTCTGAGTTCCTTGAGCACTTCATCTCTACCTTCTCCCTCCAAACTTCCTCATCTACTCTCCCCTACAGTTCCACCTTATAAAATCACTAATTTAAGTATCCCCTTCTCTGACAGCAACTTCCCAGTTCTTCCAACTTGCCTGATCAGCCACTCATATTTTCCTATAGTGTCCAGGCTGACAAGAGGCTGCATCTCAACAAGTCCTTCCATGACCCTTACAGCAGGGCAGGGAGAAGTGGAAATGGCAAATGGAGAGCTGCTTCCTAAAGCAAGTCACATGGCACATTTAACTTCAAGCAGACATGGAGAGGGGTTGCCCATGTACAAAGAGTGCAGCATTACATGTACCCAAAAATAGGTGAACCGGAATACTTGTGCAGAGCCTTAAGGACTACATCACCTCTCTCGCAGAACCCAATCCTAGATGAACCCAATTAACCATTTTCTCCATGTCGGGAGAAAGTCTCTTAAGAAAGCAGACTAGGTCCATTATTATTCACTTCACCTTCTGGTCAACTTACATACTATCCACAGAGCCATTTCAAATCTTCTTCACTTTCCTCAAACCTCTAACCCCTCCAACTCCCAACTAACTTACCAAAAACTGATCTAGTCTTTTATAAGGGAAAAGAGACATAAGCAGACGGCAAATTTGATCTTTCTAACCCCAAATTTGCAAACCTACCTCCATCAATTTAAATTTGATGTCCTGAAAAGAGATAGGTATAACTAATAAAGTACAGGGAAAATGGCCTATGAGAAACTGATTATATTTTCTCGCTGTGGTACAGATAAGCTCTTGATAAAGATGAGCATTAACACAGATAATGCTAGCAAAATAATAAACAAAACCAGGCATTTGACCTACATACTGTAAGCAACCTGTGCCTTTTTTCAAAAACACTGACTCAAAATTAACTTGGTAATGTAGAGGCAATTTCTGATGATTTTTCTGCCATATGTAATGTCTAAACAGACAGAATCATTTGGTACAGTAACCCAGAATTCGGCAATTATTTATCTGTAGTTTTCCAATTTCCATTTGAGGCAAAAGGGCAAAATTAAAAGTCCAATTATTAGAGCTTCCAATACTTTTTATCATCAAAATTGTGTCTGGGCACTGGAGACTGGGAAGGATGGGAGTGGGGTGAGGAATGAGAAATTGCTTAATGGACACAATGTACATTATTCAGGTGATGGTTACACTAAAAGCCCAGTACCACTAGGAAATATATCCTCGTAAAAAAACGGCACTTATATCCCTTACCTTTATACAAATTTACAAAACTGTGGCTGAGGATCTCCGTGATCTCCCCCACATTTAGAGCTTTGATAGGATGCACGGGACTCAACATATAGTTGAATTCATGGCTGACATTTATTACACAATGCAGTATGGATATAAAGGCTCATCATAATAGAAAAAGACACAAGCGGAGTCTGGAGGAATCACGTGTAGGCTCCTTATGCGGTCTCCCTCCCAAGAGGGGTCAAACAAAACACATCCTTCCTCCATCAGTGAAAATGCAGCAGTTTCCGCGCAGGGAAGCCCATTAAAGACTTGGTGTCCCGGATTTTTACAGAAGCTGGTAATTTCGGCATAAAACATACTGTTCAGCACAAACCCAAAAATCTAAGTTCCCAGATGCCAAACAAGCACCAACATTGCAAGCAGTCCTTTCTAAGGATAGCAGTCTTAAGGCCTGCTATGTTAACTCTTTTTAGCACAAATATGTTCTGGCCATTTTTCTCATGCGGTTTTCCAAACAATAAACTTTACAGTTTTCAAGTCACCATCACTTAACACTTGTCTTTTCTCTAAAGTAGGATGTGCAACTAAGTTGTTTAGAAAGCTTTGTTTTTAAACAGGCTATGCAAAAAGCCCATATCCTTAAGAAAAAAAAATCCTTTTTTCCTACTCTTGGGCAATTATTTATGGGGGTTGGAAAGAGAAGAAAAGGTCACTATCTCCTTTTATATACCAAGCTCAAAAAGATGAGCAGCACTTATGGTTTTGCTGTGTATCACGCTCAGTTCTAAGCACTTCACAAATATTAACCCACGCAACCCTCACAACCACCTTAGGAGATAAGTTGCTATTATTTTCCGCATTTTACACTTGAAACTGAGAAAGAGAAGTGAAGTGACTTGCAGAGGTCCCAAAGCCAGTAAGCGGTGGATGGAGATGCGGACCCAAGCAGTCCGGCCCCGGAGCTCCTAATACACGACGCTTCCAGAAAAGTCATTAGACAGGCTTCCTCCGGTCACCAACACACACACACCCCGAGGATGTGAAGAGAAATGCGCCGCGATGAGGCGGACGGAAAGGTGTGGGGCCGCCGCGCGCCCAGGTCACCAGGGGACTCGGGCCCCTCCCAGGCCAGCCCCGACGCCCAGGGCTTCTCCCGCAGCCGCATGGACCCGGAGCCGGCAGAGCGGCGCTCACACGGCCCTCGGTGACCGCCCGGCGCCCCCAGGGATCAGGAAGCCGAGTGGGGTGGGGAGCCTCTCTTCCAGCCTCGCCCACCCACAAGGGGGTCAAGGTCGCCGAAGCGAAGACCGAGAAACTGCGGCGACCATACCGCCGCTGCGACCAAAGCGCCGCGTTCTCAACTCACCCCGCCGGGCCGGGCCGCAGCGTCTACAACCTGGGGAGACTGCGCCTGCGCGCTCGTCCCGCTCCCGGCAGAGGTGGGGCCTCGTTCGCCCGCCCCCAGCCAGGACCGGGAGGGTTCCAGGCGGCGCGCCCGGGGCCCGGGAGCGCGGGGAGGGGTGAAAGGGCGGGGCCGGCTTGCGTGGCGCCTGCGTTCTGCGTGTCCGCAGAGCCCGGAGAGTCCCTGATAATCTAAGACTCATAGCCACCGACTAGCAATTTGTTAGGATCCTGGGCCAGCGTGCGCACCTCGGATGTTGCAGGAGTCCGGCTTAAGTCCCACTTGTTGCTGGGCACCTTCTGAAACAGCCTCCGATTTCCCTCCGTTACCCTCCTCTGAACTCTTTTTTTTTTTTTTTTTTTTTTGAGACGGAGTCTCGCTCTGTCGCCCAGGCTGCAGTGCAATGGCAAGATCTCGGCTCACTGCAACCTCCGCCTACCGGGTTCACGCCATTCTACTGCCTTAGCCTCCCGAGTAGCTGGGACTACAGGCGCCCGCCATCACGCCCGGCTAATTTTTTGTATTTTGTTTAGTAGAGACGGGGTTTCACCGTGTTAGCCAGGATGGTCTCGATCTCCTGACCTTGTGATCCGCCCGCCCCGGCCTCCCAAAGTGCTGGGATCACAGGCTTGAGCCACCGCGCCCGGCTCCGCCCCCACACCCCCGCCGCCCCCTGAACTCTTAAAGTCACATCTAACATTCGTCATATATTATTGTGGTTTTTCCCCCATTGCTGTTGTCTTACCTATCCTTCTCTCTTCCTAGCTAGATAGTACATTTCTTGAAATACACCTATACCTCCTCAAAGCCCGGTTATCTGTTGAAGTGGCCAGCACATTGCATGTTTAGTAAAAGTAGTTGGTTTGAAAATATTTTGTTTCAATCATGGATATTGCAAATGCCAACACTGGTTATGGATAGGTTCTAAAAGTCTCCTGATCTTTCACAACTCTTCAGCCAAGGGACAAATGTGGCTTTAAGGATAAGAGCATTGGCGTAGAAATCAGAAGATACGAGAGTTAAAATTGCAAACACTAAATTTTTCTTTAAAAACTCTTCTAACAGTATTTACATGTGGAGAACTTGGCAAAGAAGGTTGATATTTGCTTATATCGTACTTAACAAGGACCATTCATTTAACAAACATAATTGAGCACAGATATGCCAGTTGCTGTTACAGGTATAGAGGTACACTATCATTTTGGGGTTAGGATAATTTTTTTCCCTAGGGAAAAAGAAAATATTCCTCAAATAAGAAGAGGTCATGTGGTGTAATTTTGAAGGCAAAATTGTCTACTTCATAAATCAAAAGCTTTCATGTATTTTAACTTTGGATTTGACCTAGAACTTGGAAGAACAAGAACAAGCAAACTTGAGCAAATCTAAATAATTTGCATCTTAATTGTGTCACTGTAAAAGAGATTTTAAAAAATATATGTGGAAACCCAGTTTATGATTGATTTTTTAAAAGGGATTGAATTAGATTATGGAAATTTAGGTTCTTTTCTTCATAAGAAAAAAATTAGAAATTATCAAATACCATACAATACTTAAATTTTCTTGGAAACGACAAAATTCAAAGCTATCTTGATTTCCACTAGATAGACCCTTAGCATAACCAAAATCTCCAGAGATTTCATTCTTTGTTTCAAAACTTGGCATAAATTAAGGAAAATTCTCTAACACTATTTTATTTTATTTCTGATGTTCCTCATTTACCTTTTCACTTAATTGAATGTAAAATTTACTACTTGATGGATTATTCAAAGAAAGGAAATTATTTTTAAATATTACTCAGTAAGTATGTTTTAGTGCTATTACAATGACATTATAACAAAACATCAAATAAAAATATAGATTACCTTAAGATTACCTAACCATGTATTTTCCAAATAATGCTAAATATCTTAAATTTACCATCATGTTCTGTTTGGAAATATGGGGAATCTTTGTTAAGCTGTAGGCTATATATATTCCTCTTATATTTCTATCAAGTGTATTTTTTTCCTTTTTTTGTTTTTTTTTGAGACGGATTCTCTCTCTGTTGTCCAGGCTGGAGTGCAGTGGCATGGTCTCAGTTCACTGCAACCTCTGCCTCCTGGGTTCAAGCAATTCTCCTGCCTCAGCCTCCCTAGTAGCTGGGATTATAGGCACTTGCCACCACACATAGCTAATTTTTTTTTTTTTTTTGTATTTTAGTAGACAAGGTTTCACCATGTTGGCCAGGCTGGTCTTGAACTCCTGACCTCAAGCAATCCATCTGCCTTGGCCTCCCGAAGTTCTGGGATTAAAGGTGTGAGCCACCGAGCCCAGCTCCTTTTTATCAAACACCAAATTGAACCAGATATCAAGTATATATTTTTAAGATACACTCTTTATTTTAAAAGTAATACCTGCTGGTTTCTCATCTTCCCCTCCTTCCCACACTCCCATTTCCTCTTCTCTGCTTGCTGTTTTCTGATATATAGTTTTAGGCACTGTCTTTGTGCGTACACCAGGCATTTGTACCATGTTTTTATATGACTACCTTTATGCTAAAAGATAACACAGCTTAGATTACAGTCTACATTCTCTTCTATGACTTGAATTTTTCACTTCACAGTATATGTCAGACATATTTTCATATTAACCTATTTTTTTTTTTTTTTTTTTGAGACAGAGTCTTGCTCTGTCACCCAGGCTGGAGTACAGTGGCATGATCTCGGCTCACTGCAACCTCTGCCTCCCGGGTTCAAGCGATTCTCCTGCCTCAGCCTCCCGAGTAGCTGGGGCAACGGGCATGCGCTGCCACACTTGGCTAATTTTTGTATTTTTAGTAGAGACGGGGTTTCACCATGTTCACCAGGCTGGTCTTGAACTCCTGACCTCAGGTGATCTGCCTGCCTCGGCCTCCCAAAGTGCTGGGATTACAGGCGTGAGCCACCGTGCTGGGCCATATTAGCCTCACTTTTTTGAGCAGTTGCTTAAGTCTCTTGTGAATGAATGTTTTTATTTTTTCATCAGTTTCTTGTTAGTGTACACTTGTCTTTGCTTACTAACACAAGTATTCTCAGTAAATTGTTCACTGTGGAAATGCTGAGTCAACAGATGTTCATTTAAAGTTTTGATAAAAATTCTTTAAAAAAAAGAGAATCACATGAAAGGCCATACATTTCCTAATTTTTCATTTTATTAGTCTGTTATATGGGGACTTAAAGTTGATTTTAAAAGAAATGGGTGTGAAATGACTTTATTGGTCAAAAATAAAATAAAATAAAAAGAAAAGGGAAAAATCCCAAGTCTCTTAAAAATTGTCTTCCTTCTGCCGGGCGTGGTGGCTCACTTCTGTAATCCCAGCACTTTGGGAGGCTGAGGCGGGTGGATCACTTGAGGTCAGGAGTTCAAGACCAGCCTGGCCAACATGGTGAAAACTCGTCTCTACTAAAAATACAAAAATTAGCCAGGCTTGGTGGCTACTGGGGAGGCTGAGGCAGGAGAATCGCTTGAACCCGGGAGCCAGAGGTTGCAGTGAGCCGAGATCTTGTCACTGTACTCCAGCCTGGGCAACAGAGTGAGAATCTGCCTCAAAAAGAAAAAAAAAGAAGAAAAGAAAAGAAAAAAAAAAAAGAAAAAAAGTCTTCTTTCCAATAGCCTTTCACTAACACATGAGTAACAACAAAAAATTAAATTAGTTGTTTGAGAATTAATGATTCATATCAACTCAGCACTAGTAAATCTTTCTCAGAAAAGTGAAAACTATTTCTCCCTCTTTTATCAATTTTAAGTCTTGCTTAAATTATTCCTTAACAATGATGGAATAACTTGGACACAATGATCAAGATAACTAGGAACAATGATCAAGAACCTCTTTTGACAAGATCTTTTTGCTGCAAGGACTCTTAAATAAACTAAGTTTAGCAGTGTGCTATATATGGAAAGGCATATTTATCTCCTCAGAAAAAAAAGTCCTACATAAAAATATTTTTTAAATAATAATTAGTTATGAGCCCTAAAAGAATAATTGTTTAGTAATACTTCTCCTGCAAAAGCAGAAATCAGATTAAATATTATTCAGTGAGGCCAAGTATATTGTTTCCCTATCTTGTGTTCATACTACCTGTGATTTATGATGTATATTTAGAATGAGGATGCCACAGAGACTACATGAATCTACAGTATATAGTGATATCTTAGTTAAAAGTGAATCCACAAAATAAATTACACGGAGACTATGGTTAAGCTCCAAATTATTTGGAAAATAATTATAAATGATGTCATTGGTCTAGAAATCTGAAATGGTTTATAGCTTATTAAATTATTGATAACTGAAGAATTTAAAAGTAAATGCTTAATGAAATGATTCCTTGGACATACACTTTAATAATGCCATTTAAACATGAATATTTTAATTTTTTTTTTGAGATAGGGTCTCACTCAGTCACTCAGGCTGATCACAGTGCACTATAGCCTCATACTCCTGAGTTCGGGTGACTCTCCTGCCTTAGCCTGCTGGTAACTGGGACTACAGGTTGGAACCACAGCACCTGGTCAAATATTTTAATTTTTAACTGTAAATCTATTTGCAGTTAAATATAGCTTTTATTATGTTTGGGAACCAACCTGAGAATAAATAAAAAATAAGATAATGAGAAACTTTATGTGGTAGTTTTAATAATGACCTCCTGCCCCAAAGATGTTCATGTTCTACAAACCTGAAACTTGTGAATGTGTTACCTTAACTGGCAAAAGGGACTTCGAAGATGTGATTAAATTAAGTATCTTGAGATGAGAAGATTATCATGGATTATCTCTGTGGTCTGAATGTAAAGGTCCTTATAAAAGAGAGGCAGCAGAATCAGAGGAAGAGAAGGAGCTGTGATAACAGAAGCAGGAGTCAGAATCAGGGATTTGAAGCTCAAAGCTGTTGGCTTTGAAGATGGAGAAGGAGGCCATGAGAGCCAAGGAATGCAGGCAACCACTACAAGACAGAAAAGACAAGTCAAGAAATTCTACTCTGGAGCTCAGAAGAAACACAGCCTTGCTGACACCTTGATTTTAGCCAAGTGAGACTTCTAATCTACAGAATTGTATATAGTAAACTTGTGTTGTTTTAAGCCAGTAAATTTGGGGTAATTTGTTACGGTAGCAATAGGAAACTGACACATATTATACAATAGTTGGACATAACCCTGACAAAGCTATAGTCAAATATCATCAATTCGTGGAGGAAAGATGGTAATATGACGTTATTTTAATGCCTACATCAGTTGAGCCAGCTATCAGAGTTAAGAACAATTCCTAGAAAAGTTATCCATGTAGTCAGTCTGTTTTAAACAAATCCAGTGTATGAAAATCATGTTATAAGGTAAATTGGAAACGTTTATTTCCTTTAACTCTTTAAATGTGTCACACTTTTTGCTTTCTATTTTTAAACTTTGTGTCTCCTACAAAATAATAATCAAAAACAAAAAAAGTAAGCATAACCCGTAGTTTCTTTCCAAATGCCTTTAAAGTTTCAAAGCAGTAATTACACCTTGCGGCACTACCCGGTTCGGCCGGTGCCTGGCTGGAGGGCGCCGGAGAGCCTGGAGCAGGGCGCCAGGAGGCCGGAGCAGGAGGAGAAGGAGTAGGAGGAAGTGGTCACTAGCGCGGCGGCCGCCGGCCCGCAATGGTGCTACCCTGGTTGCTGCTCGAGACTGCGCGCAGGGCGGTCCTCGGGTCCGCGGAGGCTGCGCTCTGCGGTGAGCTTGGTGGTCCCTGGGGAAAGGGAGAGCGCCTAACCTTAGACTTCAGGCAAGGGTTAACATTGGTGGGGGTGCTCGCTTCTTTAGACTTCCAGTTAAAAGTCAGACCCATCACTCTTGGCACCTGGGGATGTAACACCCACCTGGGGAAGATTTCGGGCTACCCGAACCTGTGGGCGCTCTGGGGACGCAGGGACAGAGGTAAACATTGCTCCAGCGAGGTCGTATGGGAGGGCGTTTATATTGGTAGTGGTGCTTGACTGAGCAATACATGAAAGCCAATTTCGCGACTCAGAGGAGCGAGCAAGATGGCCACTCCCTGCCGGCGAGAGTCGTAATGCCGAGCCCAGCCTTGCGAGTTACATTTGTGACCCGCTACAGAGCAGCGCTCGGCGCTTCATGAAACAGCCACCTAGAACTATAACGTGTTAGAACTATAAAAATACCACCCCTCATTTTACCGATGAGCCAGCAGAAGCCAGAGAAATGAAGGTGGTTACCGGAGGCGTTGGGTCTAGAACTCAAAGCAGTCCCTTCTTTTCGCTTTGCATGCTGCCTCTCCAGCACCAACTTTTATCTGTGGATGCAGCTACAGGGACCCAGCATTAACACAGCTTACCCCCAGCCCCACCTACCTATTTTAACTGTTGGTAAGTCCTCTGTAGTTTAAGATGTGCTTTTCTATGCAAATTTTTTTTCTTTTCTCCTTTTTTTTCTTTCTTTCTTTCTTAAGAAACAGAGTCTGGCTCTGTCGCCCAGGCTGGAATGCAGTGCTGCAATCACAGCTCACTGCAGCTTGAAACTCCTTGGCTCAAGCGATCCTCCCCTCAGTCTGCACGTAGCTAGGACTACAGGCGGAGGCCATCAGGCCCAGCTGATTTTGTTTGTTTTGTTTTTGTAGAGATGGGGTTTTAGCTATGTTTCTCAGGCTGGTCTCGAACTCCTGGCCTCAAGTGATCCTCCTGCCTCGGCCTCCCACAGTGTTGGAATTACAGGTGTGAGCTACTGCTCCTGGCCACAGAGTGTTTCCTTTCACCTTTATTCAAGAATCATTTGGTGGGGCGCGGTGGCTCTTGCCTGTAATCCTAGCACCGGGAGGCTGAGCTTTTTGAGGTCAGAAGTTCAAGACCAGCCTGGCCAACATGGCAAAACTCTGTCTGTAGAAAAAATTAGCTGCTCTTGGTGGCACACACCTGTAGTCCCAGCTACTTGGAGGGCTGAGGCAGGAGGATCACTTGAGCCCAGGAGGTCGAGACTGCAGTGAGCCAAGATCACATCACTGCACTCCAGCCCGGGTGACAAAGTGAGACCCTGTCTTTTAAAAAAAGAATCATTTATTGAGCTCTGGGACTGGCGTGGTGGCTCACGCCTATAATCTCAGCATTTTGGGAGGCCAAGGCAGGAGGACTGCTTGAGCCCAGGGGTTCGAGATCAGCCTGGGCAACATAGTGATACCCCCATCTCTACTAAAAAAGAAAAAAAAAAAACCCAGCATGGTAGCACACACATGTAGTCCCGGCTACCGGTGAGGCTGAGGTGGGAGGACTTGCTTAAGTCTGGGAGGTCTAGGATACAGTGAGTCATTATTGCACCACTGCACTCCAGCCTGGGCCACAGAGCAAGACTTTGTCTCAAACATGAAAAATCAATCATTTATTAAGCTCCTAAACTGCCGGGCTTCCTGCTGGGGATACAGCCTCTGCAGCTCAGTTCACCCATTTCTAGGGAAGGCAGACACAAGTAATCACCACACACAGCCCAGTCAAGTGACACTGCAATGGAAAAGAACAACTGACTCTGAGTTCTAGAAAATATTAGAAAAAGGTATCTTTTCATTTAAATTATGCTGTAATACAAAAATCAGCCAAGCGCTTGTAGTCCCAGCTACTAAGGAGGCTTAGGTGGAAGGATTACTTGAGCCTGGGAGATCATGCCACTGCACTTCAGTCTGGTCGCCAGAGCGAGACCCTGTCTCAAAATAAATAAATATACATATAAAATTACGCTAGTGGTTGGGCACAGTGGCTGACGCCTGTAATCCCAGCACTTTGGGAGGCCAAGGTGGGTGGATCACCTTATGTCAGGAGTTTGAGACCAGCCTGGCCAACATGGTGAAACCCTGCCTCTACTAAAAATATAAAAATTAGCCAGGCATGGTAGCACATGCCTGTAATCCCAGTTACTCGGGAGGCTGAGGCAGGAGAATTGCTTGAACCTGGGAGGCGGAGGTTGCAGTGAGCCAAGATTGCACTATTGTACCCCAGCCTGGGTGACAGAACAAGACTCCATCTCAAAAAAAAAAAAAAAATTATGCTAGTATTAAATGATTCTATCCTCATATGAAAACAAAACACAACATATTGCTCCTTTATATATCCTCCTCTTCCCACTCTTCTCCCCAGATATGGCTTGATACACATCCTTCTAAACACTTGTCTATGAATATACATAAATAAAAGTACATAAAAATACTGTATATACAAATGTGATCTGTGCATACTTTTCTGCAATTTTTTCTCAGGTATTCAGAAGCCTTCCATGGCGGCACATGTAACTCTCTTAACTGCTGCATATATTCCACCATTTCACCAGTCACCTATTGATGAACATTTTGATTTCCAATTTTTTTGCTATTATAAAGTTGTTCAGTAATTATCATTGTACATACCACTTTGTGTATTTGTACAAATATTTTACTAAAATAGATATCTAGATGCAAAATTGTTAGATTAAAGGAGAGGTGGCAAGGGACATTTAACTGGGTCTTAAAGGAGAGTAAGAGTGTTCCATGGAGAGATGAGGGAGAAAGGTATTCCTTTCAGAATGGGCAGTATGTATAAATCACGAAGGAAAGGCAGAAATAGATATTGATTGATTGCACTGTATATACATTACCTTACTTAAAGCTCATAGGTTTAAATGATAATAATATTCCTATTTTACAAATAAGAAACTAAGTCCTACAAATTTTAAGTAATTTCTGTAGGGTTACAGGGATAAGTGGGTAAGCCAGAATGTGACTCTAGGTTTATCTGACTCTAAAATCCCTTCTCTTTTCATTATAAAACTGTATTTAGAGCACACATATACTTTTTTTTTTTTTTTTTTTTGAGATGGAGTCTCGCTCTGTTGCCCAGGCTGGAGTGCAGTGGCGCAATCTCCGTTCACTGCAACCTCTGCCTCATGGGTTCAAGTGATTCTCCTGTCTCAGCCTCCTGAGTAGCTGGGATTACAGGCACGTGCCACCACGCCCAGCTAATTTTTGTATTTTCAGTAGAGGCGGGAGTTTCACCATGTTGGTCAGGCTGGTCTCGAACTCCTGACCTCATGATCCGCCTGCCTCGGCCTCCCAAAGTTCTGGGATTACAGGCGTGAGCCACTGTGCCCCGCCAGGAGCACACATATACTTTTGATGTAGCTGGAGGATAGAGCAATTGGGGCCTAAGAGGAGAAATGAAAGGAGGAGTGGGTTTGGTAAACTGTGCTGGTAAGGGGTTGTTGAAAGGCATTAAGGAACATACTAAGGAGCTTGGATTCTATCCTGTGATGTAATGCTGCAGTGACATCCAGGTGATGTTAAGTCTACTAATGTGGAAACCACAAAACTGGAGGTTATTCAAAGGTTAGGCTGAAAAGGTAAAAATCAGGTGCAGTCTGTATTACTCTTGAAAATCCCTCTAGAGAACCACACATCATCTCTCAGTAAATCCCAAATAGCCAGTTTTTCTTCAATATAGGAACAGATTAGTGTTTCTTTGAGCACAAGATGAAGTGGTTGATTTGCAAGTGGAGCACATGCTGTACATAAAAACACACACTATTGGCTTTAAATAATTAGTATGCAATAGAGGCTCATATCATGAGAGGCTTGGGGGAGCTGAGCCTCATCAAACAAATAGGCTTACTTCAGGCTTTTGCTCACTGAGTGTTCACTGGTTCGAGTGTTCACTGGTTCCAGTGTTCACTGGTTATTTCCCCCATCCTCCACCTCCCAATAGGAGTATAATTGAATTATAGAAAGTTAAATATCAGTTAGATGACTACAAGAAAAACATAACTATTTGATCCAGTTAAAGAAGTTACTTGCTGTCACTGTCTTTCACAGTGGCTAAGAGCCAGAATCTTGAGTTTAACATAAATTATAAAATTACCATAGTTTTCTAGTTCCTAACAATGAGAAGCAGTAATGAGCATTAATTCAGCCTGCTGGCTCTTTATATTCTGGGAATTCAGAAAACAGCTAGCTGGATGAGAAACAGTTTGATTCCAGGTTAAGATCTAATGTTGTAGACACAGTGAATCAACTTTTCAAATCTGAAGGGGGTGAGGAAACCTATATTTTTATTTTTAAGTTTTGTTTATTGTGGTAAAATATGTATAAAATGTGATTTTAACTATTTTGAATGTACAATTCAGTAGCATTAATTATATTCACAGTGTTGTGCAACCATCAACACTTTTTATTTCAGTGCAAAAATTTTCATCACCCCAAACAAAAACTCCCCATTCCTCCTCCCCCCACCTCCTGACAACCTCTAACCTACTTTCTATGAATTTGCCTGTTCTATATATTTCATATAAATGGAATCATATAATATTTGTCCTTTGCATCTGGCTTATTTCACTCAGCATGTTTTCAAGGTGTATCCATATTGTAGCACGTGTCAGTACTTCATTTTTATGACTAATATTCCATTGTATGTATACATCACATTTTATTTATCCATAATCTGCTGATGAACACTTGGGTTGTTTCCACCTTTTGGTTATTGTGAATAAATATAAGCATTAGTGTACAAGTATTTGTTTGAGCCCCTGTTTTCATTTGAGCATATACATGGGAGTGGAATAGCTGGAAACCTGTTCGTTTAAACCTTTATAGCTATTTGTCCATTTTTATGTTACTTTCCTAGCCATGAAAATGACAGATGAAAATAGAAAAGTGTGGCTGGTCTGAAGGTAAGTGAGTTACCTCAATTGATTGTCCAGTCAGTTACAGATCGAACTTGTTCTACTCTTTCCCTCCTTCTCACTACTGCACTTGACTAGTCTTAAAAAAAAAAAGAAATAAAACAAAAGAGTGTCTGTTTTTCATAAGAAGATACGCTTTTTTTGCAACTTACTTTTGTCTTTTCTTAACTACTTAATACATGGAACTGCTGTTTATTTCTTTTGGCCTATGAGCCCTGCAAAAAATTACCAAGGCATTAAGAGCATTGTAAACCCAGAAAGTTTGGGAACCTTAGGTTTATACATAATGTTCAACAACTAGTTTTTTAAATTCAATACTATTTTGGACAACTTACATTAAATAATGCATATCCCATTGTATAAATGTACCACTTATAACAGTTGCCTTATTGATGAACTTCCAGCTTATTGTAGTTTTCTAATGTTACAAAGAATGCTACCCACAAACATAATTGCATATATATACATCTGTATTAACTCATACTAAGGTTTCTGTAGGATAGATTCCTAAAACTAAAATTGTGAGGTAAAAAGGATATACATACTTAAAATGTTATTACAGCTAAATTTCCCTTCAAAAGTTTGTGACATTATACACTACCAGCAATGTATGAAAGTACCCATTTCCTCTTTCCCTCACCAATATTTGATATTATAAATTCTTTTAATTTTTACAAACCTGACAAAATAACAAAATTTTGTTTATATCTTGTATTTCCTTAATTAGTAGTGAGATCGGGCACCTTTTCACACTTTATTGGCTATTTATATTTCTCCTGTCAATCCACGTTCATATATTTTGACCATTTTTCTATGGGGATTTTTTTCTTTTTCCTAGTTATTTGTATGAACTCTATTTTATTAACACTAATCTTTTGTTTTTTTTCTATGTTACAAGAATTTTCTTCCTACCTGTTACTTGTATTCAAAATGTTCATTGTTCTTTTTCCATATATAACTTTAGCATTTTTATGAGATCAAACCTTTATGATTTCTGGTTTTTGTCATGTTTAGAATGGCCTTCCTATCCTAAGACTTAAATTATCTACTCATGTTTTCTATGAGTACTTTTAAGATATTAGATTTTAGGGCCAGGCACTGTGGCTCACGCCTGTAATTCCAGCACTTTGGGAGGCCCAGGTGGGCGGATCACAAGGTCAGGAGATCAAGACCATCCTGGCTAACACGATGAAACCCCGTCTCTACTAAAAGTACATAAAATTAGCCGGGTGTGGTGGCGGGCGCCTGTAGTCCCAGCTACTCGGGAGGCTGATGCAGGAGAATGGCGTGAACCCGGGAGGCACAGCTTGCAGTGAGCTGAGATTGCACCATTGCGCTCCAGCCTGAGCGACAGAGCGAGACTCCATCTCAAAAAAAAAAAAATTAGATTTTAGGTTTATATTTGGAATTTAAGCATAAGGAGTGGGGTAACAGCCTGCTTAGTTTAGTGTTTTCCCGTACTTAGTTGGCCTATTTATTAAATATAATGTCATTTTCTTATTAATTTGCAATGTCACTGTTAGCAGATACTAAATTCTCATATAAAGTATATTGTAAGTCTCTTTTCTGGACTTAGACTTTTAAACCTTTTCTTATGCCAGCTCTACACTACTTAAATCAATTTTACTATATTTAATACTTTAAACAAAATTTGAAGCATACCTGTATAATTTACCTTTTTTACTTTTTTTTTTTTTTCTTTTGAGACAAAGTCTCACTCTGTCACTTAGGCTGGTGGAGTGCAGTGGTGCCATCACAGCCTTACTGCAGCCTCCACCTCGTGGGCTCAAACGATCATCCTGCCTCAGCTTCCCTAGTAGCTGGGACTACAGGCAGGTGCCATCATATCTGGCTAATTTTTTAAGAAACTTTTAGTAGAGATGGAGTCTCACTGTGTTGCCCAGGCTGTCTCCAACTCCTGGACTCAGGTGATCCTCCCACCTCAGCCTCCCAAAGTATTGTGATTACAGGCGTGAGCCACTGCACCTGGCCTTATTTACCTTTCTTATAGTGGTCATTTTGTTGTGAAATATGAACATTATTAATTTTTTTGTTATTTTAAAAATCTTTTGGATATTCTTTTTTAAAAAATGATTTTAGACCTGTAGAAAAGTTGCAAAAGTAAAAGTTTCCTTTATGCTTACCAACTTCACATAGTATGAACATCTTACATAGTGCAATTACTGAAATCAGGAAATTAATATTGATATAATACTATTAACTAATCCACAGCCTTTAATCTTTCTTGACATTGACACTTTTAAAAAGGGTACTAGTTACTTTGTAGATTTTTTGTCTGAGGTTTTCTTCTAATTAGATTCAGGACATGAATTTTTTTTGCAAGAATACTAAGGAAGTGATATTGTGCACTCTTCTCAGGGCCTCATATCAGGAGGCATATGTTATCAACATGTCTTATTACTAGTGAAGTTATCTTTGAATAACTGGTTAAAGTAGTATCTTTCAGGTTTCTCCCTTTGTAATTAGTATCTCATGGAAAGATATTACCTCATTTCTCATCACACTTTCACTCACTAGATCTATATCCATCAATGGTTTTTATCTGCAACAATTATTACTGGAGTGTTTGCTTAATGGTTTTCTGTTCCCATCATTCCTTCTATATTTATTAGTTGGAAGTTCCCATATAAGGAAGATAATCCCTTCTCCCCATTTATTTATTCAATTATATCCTTTTACCAGTATGGACCCATGGATTTATTTTATTTTATGGGTTCCAATACCATATTATGTTACAATATTATATTACGATACCATATTATGTAACAAAATGTTGGCACTCTGTATCTGCAGGTTCGACACCAGAGGATTCAAGTCAACTAGAGAGAAAATATTCAGGAAAAAACCAAAATAACAATACAACAACAACAAAAACCCAAAAATACAGTATAACAATTACTTACATAGCATTTACATTGTACTAAGGATTATATGTAAATGAGATGATTTAAAGTACACGGGAGATGTGCCTAAGTTATATGCAAATGCTATGCCATTATATATAAGGGACTTGAGCATCCACAGACTTTGGTATCCAAGGGAGTACTGGAACCAATCCCCTTCAGATACCAAAAGGCGACTGTATTTAAGAGATAGAAACGGTGTCAGGCCGGGCGCAGTGGCTCACGCCTGTAATCCCAGCACTTTGGGAGGCTAAGGCAGGCGGATCACGAGGTCAAGAGATCGAGACCATCCTGACCAACATGGTGAAACCCCGTCTCTACTAAAAATACAAAAATTAGCTGGGCATGGTGGCATGCACCTCTAGTCCCAGCTACTCAGGAGGCTGAGGCAGGAGAATTGCTTGAACCCAAGAGGCGGAGGTTGCAGTGAGCCAAGATTGCGCCATTGCATTCCAGCCTGGCGACAGAGCCAGACTCCATCTCAAAAAAAACAAAAAAACAAAAAACAGTGCCATTAAGTACTTACAAGTGTAGTATAAAATGTAAGGTCCCCACATCTAATCTATGGCTTAATATCTTTGCTTGCAAGGGGAAATGAAATTAAAATTTTCTTAATATTGTAACTTGGATTAAGATTTACAGATTATTTCCATAATTCACTTACCAGATGCTGAATATGTATTTACAAGCTCCCACCAATTAAGGGGCTTGGAAAGAGTAAAATATGGAACTGACACAAGGCCCATATCAAACATTCAGGGCAGCACAGGCTGCATCCTGATGCTCAGTGTCAGGATACATGCATACATGGAAAAACTCCTTTCTCTTCTTTTGAGATGGAGTTTTGCTCTGTTGCCAGGCTGGAGTGCAATGGCACGATCTCAGCTCACTGCAACCTCTGCCCCCTAGGTTCAAGCAATTCTCCTGCCTCAGCCTCCCGAGTAGCTGGGATTACAGGCACCTGCCACCACACCTAATTTTTGTATTTTTAGTGGAGATGGGGTTTCACCACGTTGGTCAGGCTGGTCTTGAACTCCTGACCTCAGGCGATCCACCCGCCTCGGCCTCCCAAAATGCTGGGATTACAGGCGTGAGCCACCACACCTGGCCTTTTTTTTTTTTTTTTTTTTTTTTTGAGACAGGTTCTCACTGTATCCTCCAGGCTGGAGTGCAGTGATGTGATCTTGGTTCACTGCAACCCCACCTCCCGGGCTGAAGAGATCCTCCTACCTCAGCCTCCCAAAGTGCTGGGATTACAGGCATAAGCCACCATGCCTGGCTGAAAAATTCTTTTCTGTACTCTCACAACACTTTTGACATCAGATGTATGGGTTTTCCACAACCAAGTAATTCTCCAGTTCTCTGTGGACACTAACTGGATGTTCTAAAATTTTATTTTGAACTAACTACCCAGAGTTAGCACAGACCCCAGAGCCTAAGGGTTCAGTCCCACAGGACTGCCCCTACCTCAGATGCCAGTCACAAGTCCAGGCCTCCCACTCTTCTGACCAACTAGCTGTAAATCGGGGGTTCTCTTAACCCCTTCCTTGGGTTTGATACTTTGCTAGAACTGCTCAAAGAAGTCAGAGAAACAAATTTATTGATTTATTTGAAAGAATATAATAAAAAATACAGATAAACAGCCAGAAGAAGACGTACCTAGTGGGAAGTCTAGAAGGGTCCCATGCACAGTAGCTTCTGTCCCTATGGGGTTGGGGTGTGTTATCCTCCCAGCACTTGAATGTGTTCACCAACCAGAAGCTCTCTGAACCCCATCAGAGATATTTATGGAAACTTCATCATGTAGTCATCAGTTATTAACTGAGTCTCCAGCTGCTCTTACCTCCTGGAGGATGAGAATGGGGCTGAGTTCCAAGCTTCTAATCATAGTTGGGTCTTTCTGGTGACCAGCCCCCATCCTGAAGCTATCCATGAACCCACCAAGAGTCACTTCATTAGAACAAAAGAATCTATCACCCAGGAAATTCCAAGGGATTTGGGAGCTCTGTGTCAGGAAGTGGAGTAAAAAATGAAATTCATTAAAACAAAAGATGCTCCTAGCACCCCCCCCACCCCCATCACTCAGGAAATTATAAGGGTTTTAGGAGCTTTTGTATCAGGAACCAGGAGCAGAGACCAAATGTGTATTTATTATGTCACTGTGCAAAATACATACCTAGAATACATAGTTTATTAAAGCAAAAAAATTAACTATAGTTAACTGACTGGAACCAGGGGGAAATTCTTTTAACCTATTCTTTCCAGCTGTTAATAGTGATATCACTTTGAAGTTGCCTAAATTGTTTATTTTTTCCAGGTTTGACGTCAATAAAGGGAAACTGCCACAATTTTTATACTGCTATTTCTAAAGATGTCACTTATAAGGAACTTAAAAACCTGTTGAATTCTAAAAATATTATGTTAATTGATGTTAGAGAGATATGGGAAATTCTGGAGTATCAAAAAATCCCTGAGTCTATCAATGTACCATGTAAGTGACATGTGTCTTAAATTAATTTATTAAAAAACATATAAATAATTTACTATATCTAAAATCTAACTGAAATTCTTAACATTTTCTTTCAGTGGATGAAGTAGGTGAAGCTCTACAGATGAATCCAAGAGACTTCAAAGAGAAGTACAATGAAGTAAAACCATCCAAATCTGACAGCTAGTGTTTTCTTATTTAGCCGGAGTGAGAAGCAAGAAGGCCCTGGACACAGCAATATCTCTGGGCTTTCACAGGTGTGTAGATGAATGAAAAAATGGATTGATAAATGTATAATCCAATGTTTCATATATATTACATTTTTATATGTCTATTTAAGAATTTCTTGTAATTACTGTCAGTAAAGGCAGGATAGCAAAACTAAGAGCCTCTTTTCATCTTACTCAATTTAGAGATAATAGCGGCCAGGCGTGGTGGCTCACGCCTGTAATCCCAGCACTTTGGGAGGCCGAGGCAGGTGGATCACGAGGTCAGGAGATCAAGACCACCCTGGCCAACATGGTGAAACCCTGTCACTACTAAAAATACAAAAATTAGCTGGGCATGGTGGCACACTCCTGTAGTCCCAGCTACTTGGAAGGCTAAGGCAGGAGAATCGCTTGAACCTGGGAAGCGGAGGTTGCAGTGAGCCGAGATCGCACCACTGCACTCCGATCTGGCAACAGAGTGAGACTCCATCTCAAAAAAAAAATGTTTATAGCACTATTTGATGTATGTTTTCAGTGCTTAACACTATGCCAGAGGATGGAAAGAATGGGTAACCTGTGAATTTTCAGAGAAGAAACAAGGAAATTGAATTTTTGGAATACAAGTTGGCTCTTTCCTTGTGTACATGCAGCCTAGGATAGTGGAATGAGCAAAATATTAAAAATCTAGTCCTGGCACCACTGGTTATGGTAAGGGGATTTTTGTATAAGTCAATTAGTTGTTGAATCATTTTCTCATCTGTAAATTGAAAATGGCACTCTCCCCTGAGATAATGCATGTTACTTGCCATGGAAATATAAGGGTCAGGATTCTATGAATTAATTTTTAAGTAGCTTAGTATCATTCAATAGTATTCTAAAATACCAGGTTACTTATACTACCTACTCATGTATGACATTTGTGTTAGTATACCTTCTATTCATCAAAGGGGCTATGAGCTAGACCTGCAGATTAACACGCAGATGTGGCCTTAAAAAAAAATCAGTTAATCTGGGATCCAGAGAAGTAGGTGAAATTTGAACAATGAAAATACATTAACAGCTTCTAAAGATTTATAGCAGTATTATGACCAGCATGGTAGTGATGAAATTTGCAATTTAAAAAATTAAAATTGGGCCAGTTGTGGTGGCTCATGCCTATAATCCCAGCACTTTGGGAGGCCGAGGAGGGTGGATCATGAGGTCAGGAGATCAAGACCATCCTGGCCAACATGGTGAAACCACCCCCCGTCTCTACTAAAATACAAAAAATCAGCCAGGCATGGTGGCGGGTGCCTGTAGTCCCAGCTACTCGGGAGGCTGAAGCAGGAGAATCATTTGAATCCGGGAGGCGGAGGTTGCAGTGAGCCAAGATTGCATTACTGCACTCCAGCCTGGTGACAGTGTGAGACTCCGTCTCACACACACACACACACACACACAAAATAAATAAATAAAATAAAAATTATTAGTATGGGGATAATCAGAACAGTGGTTGCTGTTCTAGAGGGAAGAAGATTAACTGGAAAAGGCAAGGAGGGTGGCTCAGGCCTATAATCCCAGAACTTTGGGATGCCTAGGCAGGCAGATCGCTTGAGCTCAGGAGTTCAAGACCAACCCGGGCAACATGGTGAAACCCAGTCTCTACAAAAAAAATACAAAAAATTAGCCAGGCATGGTGGCACGTGCCTGTGGTCCCAGCCACTTGGGGGGCTAAAGCAGGAGGATCCCTTAAACACTGGAAGATCACACCACTGCACTCCAGCCTGGGTGACAGAGTGAGACCCTGTCTCAGAACAACAACAACAACAAAATTGAAAAACAAAAAAACAAACAAAAAAGGCAAGGAGAGAACTTTCTAGGGTGATGGAAATGTTCTGTATCTTGACTGAGGTATTGGTACATAGGTATATACATTTGTCAAAACACATTAAACACTTAAATGTACATTTTTGGTAAGTGATTATACCTCAGTTTAAAAATAATGAAAACAGAAATGCCTAAATGTAAATGACTCCCACTAGCATGGGTATATTCCTTTGGAATGTTAAGTCCTACACTTAATTAGTGTGCTAATGCACTGGTGGCAAAATAAACCTGTTTTCTCTTGTCTGTGCCTCTTTAGACCCATGTAGTGTATTTTTAGACTCACTCATGCAGTCATTCTTGTAGTACCTATAAGGACAATGTCAGAAATATATATATTTCTGTCAGTGTGTGTGTGTGTATATATACACATATATGTGTGTGTATATATACACATATATACATATGTATACATATACATATACATATATACACACACACATATATGAAGGCAAGGAGAGAACTTTCTAGGGTGATGGAAATGTTCTGTATCTTGACTGAGGTCAAGATATATATATATACACACACACACACATACACATATATAAGAGCCATAATCTCAGGGAGAAGGAAAGTTGTAGACAATGAACCAACATTGAAGTACTGGGCCCATCAAGGAACAGGATTGTGGGTAAATACATCAGGCTTTTAGTCGGAATCCTGAAAAGGCTATGCCCTAGAAGTAGAGTTGAACCAGAAATTCACAACCCCCACAAGAACTCAAAACAAGCTTTGAATCAATTAAATCCCTGAATGAATTAAGGTGATCTTCCTAATATCTTAAGGGCCTACCAGAAGTAAATCCTCTCTAGAGAAAGATACCATTATCTAGCTAGAACAGAGGTTGGCAATAATCAATCTTTTAGTCTTGTGGCCAATTAGGTTTCTGTTGCAACTGCTCAACTCTGCTGTTGCAGCACAAAAGCAGCCACAGACAATATATAATGTGACTATTCCAGTAACTCTACTTATGGCCACTTAGGTTTGAATTTTATGTTTCATGTGTTGCCAAATATTATTCTTCATTTGATTATTTTTCAATCATTTAAACATACAGCAAACATTCTTAAAGCCAGACAAAAACAGGTAGCAGGTCAGATTTGGTCCATGGGGCATAATTTGTAGATCCCTGAGCTACAGCCACAAATTTTCCTTACAATTTTTCACATACAATTTCACCTTACAATTTTCACATACAATTTCAGGTATTCTATCAAAAATTAATAGGCACGGCAGTCAATAGGACCTTATGATTGAGAAATAATGGAAAAACAAGACAAGAGAAACAAATCCACAGAAGATCTACAGATTGGAGTTTTCAGACACAGACTTTAAAATAACTGTGATTAATATATTCAGTAACTTAGATAACAAAATTACAGTAACTGAAATTAAACACCCAATAGAAGGTAGATAGGTTTAATGGCCAATTAGACACACCTGATGACAGGATTAGTGAAAATGGAAAAATCAGAGGTACATGTATTAACATGGATGACTCTTACAATGTTGAGGGAAAAAAGCAAATTACAGAAACATATACTGTATAGTTTTTGTTTGTTTGTTTGTTTTTTAAGACAAGCTTTTTCACTGTTACCCAGGCTGAAATGCAGTGGCAAGATCACAGCTCATTGCAACCTATACCTCCTGGGCTGAAGCAATCCTCCCACCTCAGCCTCCAGAATAGCTGGGACTACAGGCACGCACCACCACACCTGGATAGTTTTTTCACTTTCTGTAGAGACAGGGTCTCGCTATGTTGCCCAGGTTAGTCTCGAACTCCTAGCCTCAACTGATCCTACTGCTTCTGCCTCCCAAAGCACTGGAATTACAGGCATGAGACACCATGCCTGGCCAGTATAGTTTTTAAACATACAAAATATATTATTATTTAGGCATATGGACATATATAGTGTAAGTATAAATAAATTATAAAAATATCTACTTCTGAATGGTTTCTAATGGGGGAAGGGAGACGAACACAATAGGCTTTAACAGTATTGTTGACAATTTTATTTAATATGTTTGGTAGGTAAGCACTTATTTTTACCTTTTGTATGCATGGGACAGGGACTGTTGTCCCCACTTGGCTACACTTGAACAAGACTATATACCTTTGGATTCCTGGTACCCTTTTTTTTTTTTTTTTAAGAAAAAAACTTGATAATGTATTCTATTTACCCAAATAAACAAAGGGTTAATAAATTAGAATAATGTATCTTCTATATTAGATCGAACTTAGAAAGACAATTTTAGTTGTCATTCTGATACAAAGATTTAACAAATTTTATGTGTGTATATACATATATATATATATATATATATATATATATATATATATATATATATATATATGGTTTTTTTTTTTTTTTTTTTTTTTGAGACGGAGTCTCACTCTGCTGCCCAGGCTGAAGTGCAGTGGCATGATCTTGGCTCACTGCAAGCTCCACCTCCTGGGTTGACACCAGTCTCCTGCCTCAGCCTCCCGAGTAGCTGGGATTACAGGCACCCGCCACCATGCCTAGATAATTTTTTTTGTATTTTTAGTAGAGACAGGGTTTCACCGTGTTAGCCAGGATAGTCACGATCTCCTGACCTTGTGATCTACCCACCTCAGCCTCCCAAAGTGCTGGGATTACAGGCGTGAGCCACCACACCCAGCCTTTTTTTTTTTTTTTTTTTTTTTTGAGATAGGGTCTCGCTCTTTCTCCCAGGGTGGAGTGCAGTGGTGCTATCTCCGCTCACTGCAACCTCTGCTTCTGGACAAATTATACTTTTTAAACTGCACTGACTTATACAACAGTCTTTTTTTTTTTTTTTTTAAGACAGGGTCTCACTCTGTCTCCTGGCTGGAGTGCAGTGGCATGATCACAGCTCACTGCAGCTTGACTTCCTGGGAAGCTCACCTGAGTAGCTAGGACAACAGGCACATACCACCACAGCCAGCTAATTTTTCTATTTTTTGTAGAAGTGGGGTTTCACCATGTTTCCCAGGCTGGTCTCAAACTCCTGGGTTCAAGTAATCACCCTGCCTTGGCCTCCCAAAGTGTTGGGACTACAGGCGTGAGCCACAGCACCTGGCCTTATGCCAACAAAACTCTTATGAGTAAAACCATTATTAAGGTCTGTAGTATCAGAGACCTCAAAATGTGAATATACAGCATATGATTTACTACATCATTTAATAAATGTCTGTTTATTTCAGTAATGGGAGAATATCACTTTTACTTTGATAATATAAGGGTAGATCAAAAGTTTCAGATATGTATGAGAAAAGCCAGATTATATTTTTAAATGCTATATGTACTCTACATCTCTTTCATAATGGAATAGGAGAAAGATGTCCTGAAAAAACTGGCAACAGTGGATAGCCTCAGAGTTCTAAATTAATCAAAATATCTCAGGTTTCTTTCATTCACATAATCTTTCTTCTGTGCTTATGATCTCAGTGGGGTTTCTTGGATTCTGAGATAATGTGCCCCTTTGCTATCTAGAATGTGTATGCCATAGAAATACTGGATAGAGGTAGGATCAGCAGCTAATCTATGAGAAATTTTGTATGATTAGACACAAAAAATTGAATGCTTATCCTACCGTCCAGTAAAAAATATTTTTCGGTGTCCCCAAAAATAGCAATTTATTAATGGAAAAATATAATTTTATCACTACCACTTTTTAATGCTACAAGTTTCTCCAGGAGCAAAGGATAAGAAGAAAAAGAGAAATTTTAATAAGTTATTATTATTATTATTTTTGAGACAGTCTCGCTCTCTTGCCCAGGCTGGAGTGCAGTGGCTCCATCTCAGCTCACTGCAACCTCCGCCTCCCGGGTTCAAACAGTTCTCCTGCCTCAGCCTCCCAAGTAGCTGGGAATACAGGTGCACACTGCCACAACTGGTTAATTTTTTTTTTTTTTTTGAGGTGAAGTTTCATTCTTGTTGCCCAGGCTGGAGTGCAATGGCGCGATCTCAGCTCACCACAACCTCCGCCTCCCGGGTTCAAGCAGTTCTCCTGACTCAGCCTCCTGAGTAGCTGGGATTACAGGCACCTGCCACCACGCCTGGCTAATTTTGTATTTTTAGTAGAGATGGGGTTTCTCCATGTTGGCCAGGCTGGTCTCAAACTCCTGACCTCAGGTGATCTGCCCACCTCGGCCTCCCAAAGTGCTGGGATTACAGGTGTGAGCCACCGCGCCTGGCCACACCTGGCTAATTTTTTGTATTTTAGTAGAGATAGGGTTTCACTGTGTTGCCCAGGCTGTTCTCGAACTCCTGAGCTCAGGCAGTCCGCCCGCCTCGGCCTCCCAAAGTGCTGGGATTATAGGCGTGAGCCACCACACCCGGCCAATAAGGTATTATAATGGCAGAATGTGGTTGAAGTGAATCCAAATAAGGATAATAATAGTTCCTACTTCACAGTAAAGTTTTGAAGATTAAATCAGATAACATGTCAAATATTTAATACTTTGCTGCTATTCTTACTGTGTGAATATGTACAATATGATACCTGTTTGTAGGCAGCTGATATTTTGTGTTACTGTTTGCATTAATTTAACATTAATGGGTAAAGATGGCAGGTGAAAACTCCTAAACATCTGGGGGCCGAAATGGCAGTGGACTCCTTACTGAAAACAAGGAGATAAAGTGAAACTCTGCATACTGAACAATGAGCTAGCTTCTTGCCTTATTTCGTCTCTGAGAACTGACAGCTCAGCTCCTACTACCTGAGATAGATTTCTCTCCAGAAAAACTGACCCATCCTGAAGAAAAACCTTTAAAAAACAATGCTGGGGGTGTGAGGCTGAGGAAAATGTTTTGCTGTTCCCTTACCTATAATGAAGCTCACCACTGAAAAGTCCTACCCATGTACACAGAGATGTTCCAGATAGCTTTCTCTGTGTCTCTCAAATATGAAGGATCCTGAGATAATTACGGCCAAGCTTCTAACTTGAAAGACTATGACCAAACCAAACAGCAAAAAGGAACTTAAAGGAAATACAGGTTTAATAGCCCTTATCTGAAACAGCTGGGACCAGAAGTGTCTCAAATTTTGAAATATCTGCCTATATATAATGAGATAGCTTGGGGATGGGACCCAAGTCTAAACAAAATTCATTTATATTTCATGTACACTTAATACAAATAGCCTGGAGTTAATTTTATACAGTATTTTGAAATAATTGTGTGCATGAAACAAAGTTTTGACCCATCTCATAAAATCAGATAGGGAATTTTCTACTTGTGGCATCATGTTGGCACTCAAGTTTCGGATTTTGGAGCATTTTGGATTTTAGATTTTCAGATTATGGATGCTCAACCTGTAGTGTTAATGCAGGGAACAAAGAAAATTTTAAAACAACCAAAAAACCTAAGTTAATATCCTTAGAATTTTGAGAAGCCATTGCACTCTCCAGAACAAGGTACTACTTAAAAGACTTGGATTACCAGCTAAGTACAGTGGCTTATGCCTGTAATCCCAGGGCTTTGGGAGGTCGAGGTAGGAGGATCACTTGAGGCCAGGAGTTTGAGACCAGCCTGGAAAACACAGTGAGACCTCTATTTCCACAAAAAATTTAAAAATTAGCTGTGCACCCATAGTCCTAGCTATTCAGGACACTGAAGTGGAGGATTGCTTGAACTCAGGAGTTCAAGGTTACAGTGTGCTGTGATCGTGCCACTGCACTACAACCTGGGTGAGAGAGGGAGACCTTATCTATCGTGAAAGAAAAAGACTTGGATTCCCCATATCTCTTAAATGCAAGAGAAAACAAAGGGAAGTCCCAATATGATCAATTCTGTTATGACAACTGTGTTATTTGGACAGTAGTCAGTCCTGACTGAGGGCCGTAGAACTCGAAGAAGTCTCCCTGTGATTTGGAGAATAAAAAATGACAAACGATTCTGATGATCAATTAATAGAAGATACAAATGAAGTTGAACAAATTACAACCAAGGCAATTACTACTTCCAGAGATACAAAAATATTATAAAAGAAAGAAAATGTAATCATGGTATGCTATAGAAGACAATATTATCTATGTACATTTATATATTCGATATGAATTTAAAAAAATTATACAATTAAGTGATGATAGGAGTAGAAGTCCCAGTGTAAGATCAGGTTGGGGAAGGAGAATAGGGGGAGAAGTATGAAAAGCAAAATCCTCATCTTCCATAGCAGAGAGTTAGATAATATTTATAATTAAAAAGAAAAAATGAGGGGATTGTAAGCAGAGGAGGCAATATGCTAATATATTTGGAGATTAGATGCCCAGGTTTTAAAAAATGCTTTATTTATTTTTTAATAAACAGATACAGAGTCTCGCTTTGTTGCCCAGGCTGGTCTCGAATGCCTGGCCTCAATCCTCTTGCCTCAGCCTCCCAAAGTGCTGGGATTATAGGCGTGAGCCACCACGTCTGATCAAATGCCCAGATACTAAGAATTAGAATCTAATCCAAGCTCTGTCACTTAGTTAATCTGTGACTGGGTAAATTACTTAATATTTCTGCTCCAGAGTTTCATCATTTTTAAAATGATCATTCTAAGAATTTACTTCATAAATGCAGAGAGCTTAGAACATAATTGGCACATTTTTAATAAGTGTTCAAATAAATGTTATAATTAAAACCTTGTCACTTGGAAATGAAGTAAACAGCAGAGAAGTGACTAAAAGTTGAAAGTGGCTGCCTCTGGAGAATGGGAATGAGAGGTAGGGAGAACAGGACAGGGGTCTAACATTTTCTCTATAATGTCTTACAGCAACACTGTCCAATAGAATTTTTTTTTTTTTTTTTTGAGACAGAGTCTCATTCCATTATCCAGGCTGCCCAGGCTAGAGTGCAGTGGCATGATCTCAGCTCACCACAGCCTCTGCCTCCCAGGTTCAAGCAATTCTCCTGCCTCAGCCTCCTGAGTAGCTGGGATTACAGGCACCTGCCACCAAGCCTGGCTAATTTTTTTTATTTTTTAGTAGAGATGGGGGTTCACCATGTTGGCCAGGCTGATCTTGAACTCCTGACCTGAGGTGATCCACCTGCCTCGGCCTCCCAAAGTGCTGGGATTGCAGGCGTGAGCCACTGCACCTGGCCCAATATAATTTTAATGCAAACCATTACATGATTTTAAATCTTACACTTAAAAAATTTAAAAAGAAAGTGAAATTAATTTTAATGTTTTATTTAATCCTATGTATCCAAAATATTTAAAATATGTAATCATTATAAACAAATTAGAGATTTTATATTATTTTGTTTTGTACTATTTGAAACCCAACATATATTTTTACATTTACAGCACATCTCAATTCACACTAGCCACGTTTTAAGTGTTCAATAACCACATGTGGCTAGTAGCTATCATACTGGACAACTATGGTAATATTGGATTTTTAAAAACAATACATATCATCAATGGCTGCTATTAAATCATAGAGAAACCCAGCCACTTTATGTCTCCTGATTAAAGACCACTACTTAATTTGTACAGTGGTCTACTAAAAAAAAAAAAAAGACAGAAAAAAAGGAAGCAAGCAAACAAGCAAGCCTGAATCTGATCAAGCCTGTAGATTCAATTACCAATTTACAGAAAATATAGAGGAGAAAATAACACATTAAATGGCATGTCAAGGATGCAATCAGCAAAATCCAGATGGTGAGAGACTCTTAGTAGACAAGCAAACCAAAAACAGGAATTTTAAAAATGTGACTGGGAAGGAATTCATGAATTTAAAAAGACATGGCTGGGTGCAGTGGCGCACGCCCGTAATCTCAGCACTTTGGGAGCCTGAAGTGGACAGATCACTTAGGTCAGGAGTTCCTGACCAGCCTGGCTAACATGGCGAAGCCCTGTCTCTAATAAAAATACAAAAAATTAGCCAGGCGTGGTGGCATGCACCTGTAGACACAGCTACTCTGGAGGCTGAGGCTGGAGAATCACTCGAACCCAGGAGGCAGAGGTTGCAGTGAACAAGATTGCGCCACTGCACTCCTGCCTGGGCGACAGAGTGAGACTCCATCTAAAAAAAAAAAAAGAAAATAAAATAATAACAAGACAAAAGACTTGTCAATAAATTGTAATATGTGATCCTTATTTAGATCCTGACTAGAACTCTAACAATTTTTATACTTGTGAAATAACTGAAAATCTGATATTATTTTTACTAATTCTTTTTGAGGCACAATAATACTTTTAGTTTTTTTAAAGAGCTATTATTTCTTAGGAATATATGCTGAAATATTTATGGATAAAATTATATGATATCTAGGATTTGCTTCAAAATAAGATGGGGGATGGCAACTTACGGAAAGTGGGTGGGAGTTTAGATGAAATGAAATTGGCCATAAATTGATAACTACTGAAGCTAGATGATAGGTACATGGAGGTTCCTTACTTTACTCCTGTATATGTTGTTTTAAATCTTCCACAATAAGAGACTGAAAACAAAACTATGAGGCATGGTATTAATTTTAAAAATAAACACTTAAAGACTATAGGTCTTACCTAAGCCCAACATTAATTCCTTCAGACCTGAGGAGAGCTTTTTTTCTTATTAAGCCCAGGAAACCTATATATGTCATCAGTCTGACTTTACACAGTCTCGCTTTCCAGCTCATTTGATACGCTCCATCAGAAATAAATTTTCTATTTAAAATCTGTTTGTAATGATTTGAAATTACCCCCTTGACAACCTATAAAAGGCTTTAACACTTAACTAAAGGAAGAAGAATTCTCAAAAAACAACATCAGGCAAATTCAAAAAGATAAATTCAAGACACTAGTCGATACAGCTGGAGAAGTTACTTTTATTCTTGCAGTTTTATACTAGGAAGTCAACATTTAATAAGCCATCATCCACAATTGATTAAAAATGTTTAATCCTTAAATTGTGCATCAATATCCTATGACTCCAAATTTTATTTATCACTCTCCTTCAAGTCTGAAGAAAATGATTAATTTGCTAAGTTCCACAGACAGTACAGTCCCACTGACATAACATTTAGTATGATGTCCTACTCTCATATTAGAATTAAGGACAGCCAGTATCAAACTGGCCTGAAACCTGATTGTGTTCCTGGTTCAGAATACCTGTAGTAAATCTGTAAATCCACACCAAGACACAACATTAAACTAGGGTGTGTATATCTTATAAAAACCTTTTCACAGTAAAAATCAACATTAAAATTTTACCAAATTCCAACATTATGGTTTTTGAATCCAATTAAGCTTTCAAAATGCCTGATTAGCTGTGAATTAATTATAAATAACTTCATGTAGTTTGCCCAGCATTTCAAAATGGTTATGGACTATCATGTTTAAAATGTCAAAGTATGCTATACATATTGCACTTTTCTGCTAGGCTGGGCTAGTATCTTCCATGGCAAGATCCTCAAACTACTGAATAAAATACACTTTTAAATCAATATAGGTACTTGATTAATTTCCCTGAAATTATCAACATCATTACCAAAATCTTCCAGGATTTTGTAAGATTTGATTCCTTAAATACAGTTTTAAAGTTAAACTTATGGAGGGAAAAAAACCCTCATAGATTGACTGTAAATTTTACGTCCTTTTTTGGTCCCTCAATGACCAAAGAGAATTTTAAACAAATTATGCTTCATGTTTCCTGGCTTAATAAAAAGCTACAATTTTTATTATCCAAATTAAGAAATATTATACTAATCAAAAGCTATTAATTTTGAAATGTCTATGTATGTCTGTCTGTAGGTCCCCTTAGAACCTTTCCAAACATTTATAATCAAGAGATTTTAATCAATTATGTACTAGAATCATATTAAAGAAAAACTTATTTTGCAAAAATAAAATCACTTTCCAATATGCTTGACAGAAACAAGCTATTCATTTTCATTTGTGTTCCACTGAAGACATTACTGAAATCTGTCCAATGGTTTATTTCCAAGTGGTCCACTATGGAATTCTTCGGAATGTTTTAAGATTGGCTGTAGCTAGAGTTCTGACTTCCATTTGGACCCTGCTCTCCTTCACTGTTCAAATGGGGAAGAAAGAGATTTTATACCAATTAAAAGATCCATTTTTACACCCTGATAAGCCTACTGACTTTTAAATTCATTATTCTGTGGCACAACTATACAAAACAAAGACATTCCTCATTATAAGACACGTGAAAAATTAAAATCCAGAAGACTAACAAACATTGGTTTTATGTTTTTATTCTTATATAACTTTGTGCCCTCACATATAACAAGCATTCTGGAAGTTAGTGTCCATATATACTCAAAAACTTTAAATTAGGGTATGGGATTTCATTGTTATTACAGGTATCACTCAACATAGAGATTACAGCTTCTTCTAAACAAATTTCCTATAAAATTAAATCTTACATATAAAATCCTATTCCTACTATTTATGAAAAACAAGAAGTGTTCTTCAAAAAAAAAAAAAAACCAAAACTGTTGTCCAAAGGCATAATAAAATCATATATAAATACAGCAAACCTTTATAAGTCAGCAAGAAATATGGTAATTTCCTGGAAAATGCTGAATACTTAAAATAAAAATGCTGAATACTTAAAAATAACTAAAACTGAAAATACCAGTAACTTTGGCAATAGGATTATTGCCTTATCTTGTCCACCATCATCTTGCAGCTTCAGGCCCTGCCACTAGTGGAGAATCACTCAGGGAATTTCTGCAAAAAATGCATCCAAAGGTAGCTGTTTGAATGACTGCCTTAAACAGCTCCTTGAATAAAGTATTAACTTTTTCCAAATTGTAACATTAACTTATGAGTAGCAATCCATAAATCTATCTTGTTATATAACAATCATTTTTCTAAAGAAACAATTAAGATGGATGGCATTTCTTTATTTCCCTTCTGACTTTTTCTCCCTGCCCCAAATGAACTGATACACAGTGAGGGCTGAGAACCACTGAACTAAATGAACACATCTTACTTAAAACACACACATACACCCCAATAACAACAAAAAAAACCCTCTTAGCACAGGTGATTCATTTTTAGCAAAAATATATTCTTATGTGCCATGGACCTTAGGGTCACTTAAAAACCAAAATTCTTTATCTTTACAATATCAGATCATTCATTGAAATTTTTGAAAATTGCTACTGAAATTTATAAAACAGGACAATAGCCAGCAGTGAAAAAAAAAAAAAAAAAAGATGGCACAGAATCAAACTGACATGAAACTACTATAGTTCTGAATTCTGCCCTGAATTTCAGATGAACTTACCTAATTCTGTCAGCTTTAAATTTATGGTATATGACCATATGTTGAGAGATACCTGTAATATACCTCCACTGCATTAGGAAAAGTTACTAATCAGATTAGTGATTTTTTTAAATGAGACATTCTCAATCAAATCACAAATTTAAAAAATAAAATTAACATGGATCATGAAGTTTTGGAAGAAATGTTTTAAAAACTACAAAACAACATAATCTAAGAAAAATATAGTAAGTATGATATATGATTAAATGACATCAATAATTAAAGTCTACAAAGTACCTGTTTGGAGGTGGTTTTGGTTTTGGCATCTTACTAAGAATGGTTGCCATCTCTTTTCTCTCATCGAAATTCTTCCACTGCTCATATAGTTTTAAAATAACCCTGATTATTTCCAAAATCTAGAAGAAAATATTTGAAAAGTTCTCAGTGGCAAAAACAAGCAACATTTTTTATATAAAGAGCATACATCACTACACAACCCTCAGAAAACAGTAAATAGTCTCTGTCCTTAAATCCTGATAAATTTGAAAGCAGTATTTTTCACCACAGTGCTGTTTAGGATTTTCCTTCTAGCATCTCATTTTTCAGCATGTGTGCATTGTCCATTCTTATCTATCTCTGCAGCTGATTTCCTTCCATCTGATGGTATCTTTTAAACTGAAACATACTAAGAATAAAGGTTCTAATCATGAGGGAATATACCACTATAGAGCACACTCCTCTAGTATAAATTATTTTAAACAACTTAATCGGGGGTAGTGCACAAAAGATGTTTTGATTCTCTGTTACTACACATACATTAAGGTGCTCAAAAACTGGCAGCTACAAATTTGAAACAACTAGTTAACAAATTAGCTATTTTTTTCCCACCTGAGTAGAACCTAACCTTAGGATTAATTTTAATGCATTTAACACTTGAGCAGAAAAGCTAGAAACACAGCAAAAGCCATTCTGCCAGGAGATAGGCTATGTTACAGAAGTTCACAGTAGTATTCAGTGGTTACCAGGGAGCTTTTAAAATAATCCTGGGAATGAGAGGCTACTTTGCAACCAATTAAACCAAAAGTTTACCATTCTGTTTAATCCTAAACTGAAAAGAGATACATAACTTAAATAATCAGCATTAACTCTTCCTACCAAACTTTTTTTTTTTTTAAACGGAGTCTCGCTCTGTTGCCCAGGCTCGCGTGCAGTGGCACGATCTTGGCTCACTGCAACCTCTGCCTCCCAGGTTCAAGCAATTCTGTCTCAGCCTCCCGAGTAGCTGGGAGTACAGGTGCATGCCACCACACCCAGCTAATTTTTGTATTTTCAGTAGAGACGGGGTTTCACCATATTGGTCAGGCTGGTCTTGAACTCCTGACCTCAGGTGATCCGCCCACCTAGGCCTCCCAAAGTGCTGGGATTACAGACACAAACCACCATGCCCAGCCCATGTTTCTTAATATTTTGTAACCAATAATCTTCTTAGCCTGGTGGACATCACAAGATTTTAGGCTCATGATAAGTAAATATGACATTAATTTTTAAACATCCAAGTTTACATACAACTAAGGGAATACCTTTTCCATATCCACAGAAAGCTCAGCAAACCATTGCCTGGCATCTTTCTGCTGTACAACACAGGCTACATGTAGGCAAGCTGAAATGAAAATGAGAGACAACTGTCCATGTTTAACTGCAAACACAGAATATATGATCTAACAAAGATTTTTCACTATTTCCTGTGTATTTTCCAACACTCTTTAAAAAACATTAAACAGCTACATATGAGAGTTACCACTGACCATCTCATCAATGTAATCCGAGACAGAAAAAATTACTAGATTACATCAAGTTCTTGACATCTGGTCCTCACTGCGTGCTAGTCATGGTGCAGTTGCCTTGAGAGTCAGGCACGTTAAAGAGGAAAAACATCCAATGAGGAGAGCAGAAAAGGGAAGTTATCCCTGAGTAGTGTACAAAGTAGCCGTTAAACTGCACCCAGAAGTCAGTGTGACAAAACAAAACAAACAAAAATGTTAATTAATATACTAGGTTTTAACAATGTTGACTGTGTTTCCACATTTCAGTTAAAAGCAGTGTTGCCTGGCCTTTTTTCTTCCTTTTCATTATTAGCACATGATCAAGTTATGTGAAAGCTGGGCACATCCTTACAGAATTCAGTGTTGTAATCAAATAAAGGTTAGAAAATAAATGTAATATACTGTATACAATATTAGTTATATATGTTATATACAATATAAACTAACAAAAGAGAGGAATCTACATCATAATTTTGCCTAAAACAATTTCTACTGAGCAGCCTGTATACCCTTAACCCACTCCAGCTTAAGTTATACTCCGTGGTCTGGTTATCCATGTCTTTGCTAAGGATGACATTCTAGGCAAATAGCAACTCAAATGTGAACTGACACACTGGTTGCCCTAAGTCAAGCAAAGCTATGAGTAGGGCTTAGGTCAAGAAGAGGTTAAAAAAAACCAAATGACTGACATGATAAAAACAGGAAATTAAAATACAGTGGACAATGCTATTAACATGGGCATGCATAGAGTACACTGAAGATTGAGGAAGCATCCTAAACCCAGACTGAGGTGATGCTGAAAGGGTGGGGGAGGGTCACTGAAGAGCTGATATCTAAGCCAAGTCTTACAAAAAAAAAAAATGAGAGTGGGAGAAGAGAATAGTATGTATATCAATTGGGAGACGAATTTGGCTAGCTCCGGGTTTCTCAATCTTGGCACTACTGACATCTTAGGTTGAACAATTCTTTGACACTGTCTTGAATACTACAAGATGCTTGGCAGCATCCCTGGCTTCTACCCACTAGATGCTAGTAGCACCCTACCCTAGTTATGACAACTAAAACCAAACATTGCCAAATGTCCCCTCGGGGCAAAATTATCCCCAGGTGAAACCACTAGCCTAGCTCAACAGTTTGGAAGATAGACAGGCTCTCTGAGGATGGGAGTGCTGGAGGCTAATAAGCCAGTTAGGAGACTGCTGTGGTAACATGGATAGAAATGAGAAGATGACTATGAGATTACAGAAGGAACAATCGAGAGGAAGGCACAAAATGTACTGGTAAACAACTACATGTGGGTATTGAGGGAGATGAAAGGGCCTAACTGCTGGGTTTCCAACTAAGGTATATAACTAGTGCTATTCACCAAACTGGCAAAGACATTAAAAGGAGGAACATATTTTGGGGCAAAGTGATAAGCTCAATCCTCATCATGAGTCTGAGGTGCTGGTGGGATGCCAAGCGGAGCTATGTAAAAGGAAGATGGATATAAAGAACTGCCAAGTGGCAAGATCTTGGCTAAATAAAGAGATTTAAATGTTTCGGCATGTAAGTGATAGTAGAAGCCATGAATCTCAGTTAAAGTACCCAAGAAGAAGACAGCAGGGATGGCAAAGATGTGACACATGTTCTGTTATCCCTTCCTTCCTACCTATGCAGATCCCAGTATTCCTACCCACTGGGTAGGACACCACTCAAAATCCTTTCAAATCCAGTCCTTTCAGGGAACTGCCAGTAATACAGAAGTGTAAGTATAACCTATTTGTCAGCCCTGATGTAAGAAGGCCAAGAAACATCAACATTTAAGGAATAATTGAACAACTGAACAAAGACAAACCAATGGAAAATAAGAGGGGAAAATCAAGAGGATGGAGTTATAAAAATCAATAGAAGGGGCTGGGGTGCAGTGGCTCACGCCTGTAATCCCAGCACTCTGAGAGGCCAAGGAGGGTGGATCACCTGAGGTCAGGAGTTCAAGACCAGCCTGGCCAACATGGCGAAACCCTGTCTCTACTAAAAATACAAAAATTAGCCAGGTATGGTGGTGGACACCTATAATCCTCCTGTAGGCAGGAGAATCGCTTGAACCCAGGAGGCAGAGGTTGCAGTGAGCCAAGATCACACCACTGCACTCCAGCCTGGGAGACAGAGTGAGACTCCATCTCAAAAAAAAAAAAAAAAAAAAATCAATAGAAGGAAAAGGAACAAAAATTAACAAGTGCCCAATATATAACAGGCATTATTTGGTGCTCTACAACCTATCTCATTTAATTCTTCAAACGGCTCAGTGGAATTATTAGTATTCTCTCCATTTTACAATTAAGGAAACAAACACGGAAAGGTCAGATAATTTTCCCACAATTGTAAAGGAGGTAAAGTTTAAGCCTAGGACTATCTGACTCCACCCATTACAGCACTGCTTTCCACAGACTGTAGAATGAATGTACTTAACGTCTTCCTCCAGCCAAGCATTATGGACCACAGATGCTCCTTTACTCAACCTCTGAGTATTTGTTTGGGCTCAGGATATGAAAGCCCCAATTATTTTACATGCTACAACTAATATTAGCTGGCTTAATTCTGAACTTTTCCCTCTAAACAAACAAATATGTTCTATTCAGACACCGATTAAAACTATTTTGAATGGTTTCAAAAAAAAAAAAAAAAAACTTACCAAAAAGGGGGTGGGGGAATAATAATCCTGATTTATGACAGTTGCAGTTCATATTATTGAAAGCTCACATGCAAGGATTAGTCTATTACTTCATGGAACATAAAAACATAAAGTACAATAGGGTGAAATTTAGTTTAGGATGACCTAAATAAGTTTATAACAATTTAACTCATAAAGGCACACCATGCTTACATACCTAAAGCTATCATGAAAGGAGGATACAGTAGGCAAAGATCCGTTCTGTAGGTATCATTCACTATCCTCCTATAGAAATGTAAATCATATTATTACTGAAAGCAGAACTACCTCATCTGATTGTATATTTCCTCCAGAGAGGGCCAGATTTCCCATCTTTGCACACATTTATTTCCTTTTATACTACTGAAGCACAGCTATAAAAGTGAAAACATCAAGGCAAAAGGATGGATACATGAATGTGACAACAAATAAGCACATATCAATGAATAAAATTACAGCTAAATATATTTTAAATTTCAAAATCTCATAACAAATTATAAACACATTTTTCTAATTTTTTAAAAATCAGAAAAATCAAATTAAAAAACCAGAAATTATACAGTAAATTTATATGTATGTTGCAGACTACCAAAAAGTATTCTGATTACTTTAAAGATAACTTCAGTCTTAATTTTTATGTTAACAGTCTGTGTTTTGTATAAAATTAAATTTTAATAGGTATATTTATGGAACAGATAATTTAGGATTGTTTTCATTTTGGCATTTACACCACTATAGTTATTAAAATTCAACAAGTGGTATTTTGCTCAACATAAAATATCTTGGGGCAATAGTTTAATGACTTTAAAAATACTTAACTTCATATTTAATTGTCAACCTTCCTATCTAATAACATGTTACACTATTAATAACTTCTGTTCTAATTACCATGCAAGGGGAAGCAACATGTCTTCTTGGCCCATGTCCTGCACATACTGGAGCAAAGGTCTATAAGGATGATACACTATCAAGCAACAATCCTAGAAACAGTTTAAAAAATGTGTATGTATAAAAAACAGATTTATTACAACACAAAAATGTTATCATTACCCAACTGATTTGTAATTGTGTATTTCAAAGTGAATTTCACTAACTCATGCTTGCTTCCCTTTTATTCTCTTAAGCTAGCAGTATGACAGCCCTAAACTCTACCGTAATAGTGAAGGCAGTGCTCTCTCTGGAATATACCTTGATAAATCGGTTGGCAGTCAGTCAGCATCCATTCATTCCCTTAGAGACTCAAAGTGTCACATCTGCAACACACTGAAACCTCTTATTAGCCTATAAATTCATAATTCCCAACTGGAGGAGCAGAATTCTGCCAAAGACATAATCTATCTTTAAATAACACTGCACGCACACACAAATTGTGCACATAATTTATGGTGGTTTAATGTCCTGACTTGTCTGTTTGTAATCCTTTCATTATAGTTACTTACTATAGAACAGAAAAATTTTCCCATCCTAAGTAGGATATACAAATTATTTTACAGGCTTCAGAGAGACTCTAGGTGCTAATATAAATAGGCTACCATGATTTCACCATCACATATTAGGTGGATGGTTTTAAAATGTACCTCTCTAAAATCATTTCTTTAAATAATTTCCAACTTCATTTAATTTAAAAATGTTTTAATCTATTAATCACAGAAGATTTACTTACCATTAGTTCTAACAGATAGAATTCACATTCTAATATCTGTTTAAAACAAAGATTATCAATGAAATGTCAATATGAAACCAAATTAGATAAGTCCACTTAATCTAACATAAATTACAGACATTATAGTAATTTATCAAAAATTTTTACTAAAAAGTTTTAAAAATCCAGACAATAAACATAGTTTATATTAAAATAAATATCTGCAATAAAAAATTACTATTAGAAATGCAATTATGATTATAAGGATTTTAATCCTTGTAAGGAAAAGCCAGCTTCTCACAATCATTCTTATTACTCACTTTTATTTAAAATATCCTGTAAAACCATCAGATTTTCCAGTATACTTTCTACTCAGCAAATGCAAAAATACAATTATTTCTACTTAATTTAAAAAATGTAACTTAAAGAGAATAAACAAATCCCTTGCAAGGTGGAAAAAGGACATACCTATTAAAATGTCAATAGAAATTCACCTTATATTTCATATTGTTCCATTAGTTTTTAATCCCAGCTAAATAGTAGTATCACCTGGGACCTTTTACACAGTACCAATGTTGGGAGCCCCAAGGCTGAAAATTCTGATTTTGTTGTTCTGGAAAGGATCCAACATCAGTATTATTTACAAGTTCCCAAGGTGATTTAATGAGCAGCCAGGGTTGATAATCGCCACTATGAAGTATTTTTTTTAAATGGTAAAAGCTATTTAGCTTTAATTTAGAATAATGTCTGTATTTATGTAATATTTGAAACTGCCATTTCTAGGAAACTATTAAATTTAGTCTAATATAAAATAGAGCTAGTTTATATATAGCTTTGATAATTGTTCCATTTTATATCATATACTTACATGATTCATCCTATAAGGAAATTCCTTTGGAAAGGCATATGAAAATCTAGTTTTTACTGCAGAAAATAAAAAAAAAATTTAAACTGAGAAAATGGGAAATAAATTAACTCAAAATTCCTTTAACAGAGCAGAATATTAGAGGGTAGAGCAAAATTATTTTCAGTAGGAATTCTTGGCAACACTTACGGACGCAGATTTTTATTTACTTTCAGGGAAGGGGAAAGACTGGGGGGCAGGACACTCTACACAGCTTCAATTTTATATTTACTACCTTAAGAAAGGATTCTGATGTTTAAAAAAGAAAAAGATCAGGAAAAAAAAATCACTGGCTTTTATCATTTCTAAAATCTTTTCAGCTACAGAATGGTATTCTTCTGTTTTCCAGTGACTGAGCTTAGAAGGAACACAGGGGTTACATATGTGTTTACAATATATACAATTGGTAAAAAATATACATATAAAATATTGGGAGGATAGTACACCAAAAAAATGTTAACAGTGGTTATTTGTGAGATTTAAGAACTTTTTACTAATCTGCACTTTCTAAACTTTTTACAATGACCAGGTATTTATCAAAATATATATTTTAATAAAAGCATTAATATATATGCAAAGGTCTCGAGTTACTCATAAAGTAGTAGTAGTAACACATAAAGTTAGTACTCTATTATCTATTACTTTATTGGTTAGTCACTAAATAAAGTACAAATGAAAAAAAAATGTTAACCATCAATCCCCCATCTCCTTAAAATGGTGTGAGCATATACACATAAGTACTATTTGAGAAACTGTATTCAAGCCATTATGACACATTTAATTCAACCAAGTAACTACTGACAGGTCCTAAAAAATGTTTAGTGTCAGCTTCCATTTGTACAAAGCCCAAGTGATTTCACTGAAATTAAAAGAAATTCCATTTCTGGCCAGGCACAGTGGCTCATGCCTGTAATCCCAGCACTTTGGGAGGCCAAGGTGGGTGGATCACCTGAGGTCAGGAGTTCGAGACCTCCTGGACAACATGGTGAAACCCCATCTCTACTAAAAATACAAAAATTAGGCGAGTGTAGTGGCATGCACCTGTAGTCCCGGCTACTCGGGAGGCCGAGGCAGGAGAATCCCTTGAACCCGGGAGGCAGAGGGTGCAGTGAGCTGAGAACACACCACTGCACTCCAGTCTGGGTGACAGTGAGACTCCATCTCAAAAAAAAAAAAAGAAAGAAATTCCATTTCTTCTATGCACTATGTTTTCAAAAAGATTTGTTTTGCAAATTCAGTGCCCTACAGCTAATTTAGATGTGTAATATCTGCCAGGATTTGAAACCTAGAATAATTTAAACTTGACATTAGTAAATTTATAATCTTTCCTTTCTTCTCTCCTTTATTTAAATTTAAGACGTACCTATTAAGGTTTCTGAGTTTTACAAATCCTTGTGATGTAAAGTATACCAGCACAACAGGTTCTTATATAATGGTAGACAATCAACAAAGTAAAATTATCTCTGTATATAAAACAAATCTACATCCCCATCCCCTGGACCTTGACACCTAACACCTCTATTGAGAATATATTTACCTGATACTGTCACATGTCTGTTACTCCATGCTAAAACTGCTCTGCATTTTTTTCTGTCTTTTAATCCTTTTCCTCCAACTTGGAGAAAAATACATCCCTCCTCTCTATTGTTTGTCTTACCACTTATACACTTATTATCATCTATTCAATTGATAACTCCTGCTATTTTTTTCATCTTTAACCTTCCTCCTTCAGTAAATCTTCCATCACATACTAATATGCTCAAATTTCCCTTGAAAAAAGCAAAACAAACTCTACCTAATTATATTCCTCTGCCTTTTATTTTTGTAGACTCAAACACTGAGATCATGCACAGTTCTCTTATACCCACCGTTATTGACTTCCCAGCCTCCAGAACTGTGAGAAATAAATGTCTGTTGTGAAAGCCACCCAGTCTATGGTACTTTCTTATATTAGCCCAAGTGGACTAAGACATGCCTTCACCCAGCTTCCCCTACTATTAACATCTTACATTAGTATGGCGCATTTGTTACAATTACTGACCCAATATTGAAATGTTATTATTAACTAAACTGTACTTTTTTCAGATCTCCTTAGTTTGTACCAATGTCCTTTTTCTATCCTAGGGTCTTATCTAGGATACCACATTATATTTATTTGTCATGTTTCCTTAGACTGTTTGGCTGTGACAGTTTTCTAGCCTTTCCTTGTTTTTGATGACTTTGACAGTTTTTAGGAGTACCAGTCAAGTATTTTGTCAAATGCCCCTCTACTGGAATTTGTCTGATGTTTTTCTCATTAGACTAGAGAAAATGGGTTTTTGACAGGAAGACCACCGAGATAAAGTACCATCTTCATCATATCACATCAATGATACATGATATTAATGTGATTTATCACTGTTGCTACTGACCTTGATCGCCTGGCTAAGGCAGTATTTCTCAGGTTTCCCCACTGTAAAGTTACCTTTTTCCTCCCTTTCCATATGTACACACTAGCAGGAAGTTAACATGTATAGCCAGCACCTTAGGAGTGGGGAGTTATGCTCCCTCTACTTGAGGGCAGAATAGTTACATATATTATTTGGAATTCTTCAGCATGGAAGACATGTCTCTTCTCCCTCATTTATTTATATCAGTATGGACTCATGGATATTTAGTTTATACTTTGAGTTATTATCCAATGCTATTTTTAAAATTTTGATGCTCAAATTCTTTCAGCTTTGGTCAGTGGGAGCTCTCTTAGTTAGCTCCTATATCCTTTTGACATATCCTCATCAATAGACGTTTTTGTTTTTCTTGTTTGTTTTGAATACTTCTTTATTACTGGCATTAAGAGATGGTCCAGGTCCATCTTGTGTATTTCTTGCCCCAGTCCTAGAATCAACCATTTCTCCAAGGAGCCCTGGTACCTTTTATTGGAGAATGATATTAGAAACCAAGATATGGGTACTAGGTGAGCTCATTGCTACTGGGATGTCATTGCTTATAGACCCTTTCAGCTGAGAAAGCCAAGAAATACACACACTAACCCATGTATATACACTTATCTATAAATATTTCTATATGTAACTAACCATCTATATTGTATTAAGGTACACGAGTTCATGCTGTTTCCAGCCCTTTGCTTATCTGTAAATTCCCGCTCCAACAATGAGAAACCCGGCTCTCAAACATTTGCTATTGATTTACGTAATTGTTTAATTCCCATATACATGTATAGCATTATCAGAATTGTTAACTTGTACACCCATGGGTAATAACTTTATCAACTAGAGTACAGTGCTTATGTGTAGTTCCTTTTGCCTTTACTCTTACACTCTTAATCATTTCCAAAGCTACTTATGTCAACACCTTTCCCCCAATTCCCTTCACTGAAGTTGTTTCATATATTTTTAATATAGTTAGACTATTCCTTTCTCAGCACCTACTTGCTTCTTAATTCCTTGCAATCTGGCTTCTACCTCCACCCCCACATTGTTAATGACACTATGTTCTCTCTCAAAGATGTTTTTTTCTTTGGTTCACATCTTTTTCTATGCAGCATAAGACATTGTGGAACTCTTTTTTTTTTTAATTTTTAGGGACAGAGTCTTACTCCATTGCCCAGGCTGGAGTGCAGTGGCATAATCACAGTTTACTGCAGCCTTGAACTCCTGGGCTTAGGCAACCCTCCCACTTCAGCCTAGTTGAGTAGCTAGGACTACAGGTGTGTGCCACCATGCCCAGTTAGTTTTTCTTTAATTTTTTGCAGAGCTGGAATCTTGCTATGTTGTCCAGGCTGGTCTTGAACTCCTGTTCTAAAGCAATCCTCCTGCTCCAGCCTCCCAAAGTGTTCGGATTATAAGCAGGAACCACCATACCTGGCCTGTGCAACTCTTAAATGTTATCAAATTCCAAATTTCTACTGCTGGCCTCACATTTTTAAGAGGATGTTCTACTAACATATTTATACTTAGAATGTCAAAGATTAAATTTAATTCTTTTCAGAACTCACTTATTCTCTTTTTCAGTACCAGCTTCAGCTCCCCAACCCCCAGGCAAAAAAACCTCAAAACACATTTCTGACTCTTCTTAAATCCCTTCTTTTTATAAGAACTGCTGACTCTATCGCTCAAATCTGGCTTGTTTGTTCTTCTTGCTGGCTGCCAATATTCGTTTAAGCCTTCATTAGTGTTCACTGGGATGACTTCAGCAACTTAAAAATTATTTTTTCCACTTTAAACTTGTTAGGTTTTATTTCTCATAGCACCCTGTGGTAAGTGACAGCACTCAATACAGTTTGCAGTTTTACTGTATTTCAGAAGGTTTTTGTTTTTAAATTGTGTTAAGATATACAAAATTTTTGCAAAACTGAAACTCTGTATCCATTAATCACTCCCTATACCACCCTTCCTCCAGCCCTACCATTCTACTTTCTATCTTTATTAATTTGACTAAGTATTCCATGTAAGTGTAATCACACAATATTTGTCTTTGTTACTGGCTTATTTCACTTACCATAATGTCCTCAAGGTTCATCCATGTTGTGGGATGTAAATAACTTCAAAATTTGTCTAATTCTACCTGCCCTCTCCTCCAATTCATCTTACATAATTCTGTCAGATTTACCTTCCTAATGCACAATGCTAGCATTACCCTCATGTGTGAAAATAAATAAAACTGGCCAGGCACAGTGGCTCACGCCTGTAATCTCAGCACTTTGGGAGGCTGAGGTGGGTCAGATTTACCTTCCTAATGCACAATGCTGGCATTACCCTCATGTGTAAAAATAAATAAAACTGGCCAGGTGCAGTGGCTCACGCCTGTAATCTCAGCACTTTGGGAGGCCTGAGGTGAGGAGTTTAAAACCAGCCTGGCCAAAATGTTGAAACCCCATCTCTACTAAAAATACAAAAATTAGCCCGGCGTGGTGGCACACACCTGTAATCCCAGCTACCAGGGAGGATGAGGCAGGAGAATCGCTTGAACCTGGGAGGCAGAGGTTGCAGTGAGCCAAGATCGTGCCACTGCACTCCAGCCTGGGCGGCTGAGCGAGACTCCATCTCAAATAACTAACTTTCATTACTGTCAATAGAACAAAGTGCAGATTCCTTCATTTAGCATCGAAGGCCCTCTATTAGCTGAAATTAGGTAAGGAGTTTTCCCCACTATTTCCTTACTCACCATTCAGTTAATCTAACTCATGAGCTTTCCCTATTTGACTAAACTATTCAGTGTTCTTAGACTGTCTATCTCTTGCATTTCCCCAGTTCAACTTCCTTCACCAAGTTCTACTTAATCCTTTCTGGATTCATGAAACAATCTTTTCCCACCCAAAACATTCACAGCATTCTCTGTAACTCTCTTATACTATTTATTTCCTTCTGTATTAATATTTTTATGTTTCTGTCTTCTTTTTTTGTCCTTAAATTCCTTGTATTTTACCTTGGTACCAATGCCACTGCATTGGCACAGTGTTTTCCAGTGATAATGATGTTGTTGTCATTGAAGATGATGATGATGATGATAGCCCCTAAAGTTTACCAAGTATTGTGGACCAATATATGTCCCCCTCCAAAATTCGTATGTTGAAGCCCTAACTCCTAGTACCTCAGAATGTGACTGTATTTGGAGAGAGGGTCTTTAAAGGGATAAGATTAAATGAGGACAGGCCAGACATGGTGGCTCACACCTATAATCCCAGCACGTTGGGAGGCCGAGGCTAGCGGATCACGAGATCAGGAGTTTGAGACTAGTCTGGCCAACATGGTGAAACCCCGTCTCTACTAAAAAATACAAAAATGAGCTGGGCATGGTGGCACATGCCTGTAGTCCCAGGTACTCAGGAGGCTGAGGCAGGAGAATCACTTGAACCCAGGAGGCGGAAGTTGAAGTGAGCACTCCAGCCTGGGCGACAGAGCGAGACTCTGTCTCAAAAAAAAAAAAAAAAAAAAGAAAGAAAAAAAAAAGATTAAATGAGGACATAAGAGTGGGGCCTAATTCTGTAAGACTATTGTCCTCACATGAAGAAGACAGCAAACCAGGAGTGTGTGTGCTCACAGAAAGGTCCATGTAAGAATAGCCAGACACCTTGATCTTGGATTTCCATGCTCTAAAACTGTGAGAAAATACGCTTCTGTTGTTTAAGCCACCTGTTCTGTGGCATTTTGTTATGGCAGCCTCAGCAAAGTAACATACTAAGCAAGGCACTGTTCTAAAAGCTTATATTAACTCATTTGGTCCTCATAACAACCCAACAACACAGGAACGGGTTTGCACATAGATATTAATATCTACCCATAAGAATGACATAATAGTCATTAGAAAACAATAAAATACAATAAAATTCGGAAACAGAATTTTTTCTTTACTCTTACAAGATTAAAAGCCACTGAGTTGATGTTTTTGGATTGATAATTACTATCCATTTTAACATTAAAAGTAATATCTTTATATCTTTTTAAAAAAAAACCTTTTAGCTTGATTTTTTTGCCAGATACACTAGATATAAAGTTATCCTCAGGAAATTTAATAAAGCCAACCAATCTCATATGTCTCATAAACTAAAAAAAAAAAAATCTATGTACTCTGGAGCTTTCTTTAGAATTACATCCTTAAAGCAGATATACTTTTTGCACTTACATACAGAAGTAGCAGCAGCAATCAATCTTGTATTTGAAACTACTCCAAATTCCTAAAGAAAGAAAAGCAGGTACATGTTAACCCAATGAATCTAAGGGTATCTGAACTCTATTCAAAACAGGATTTCCTTGCTCCTGTTTACAATCTGTTCACCTTCTAACTACTTGAGGTGTGAAGTACTTACACTCCTAAATGTACAGGCTGATTACCCCTTATCTGACATGCTTAGGATCAGAGATTTTTCTGATTTAGGAATATTTTGCATTACACTGGTTGAGCATCCCTAATCTAAAAATCTGAAATGCAAAATGTTCCAATGAGCATTCCTTTGAATGTCATGTTGGCCCTCAAAACGTTTCAAATTTTGGAGCATTTAGGATTTTCAGATTACGGATATTCTGCCTGTATTACCTCTCCCCCAAATTGCTACAACTTAAGACATATTTTAAAATAATTTTATAATTTAATAACAATAAAAGGTACCAAATTAGAAACCAAGCCTTAAGGTTACAGTGTCAGTTTTTCCATTTAAATTAGTTTCCAAGAAGATTGTTTACATTCTATACTTAATTGCAAGAATATTAAGTATGTTTCCTATTCAATTCAACCTGTATTAACAGATACTTCATGCCATTCTATGGTAAAACAGTTGAATTTGTGAATAAGATAAACCTTAATTAATCACCAAAAGAACTAAAAAAAAAAAAAAACCATATAAATAGTTACTATCCTTTTTAGAACAGGGAGACAGGAATTACGTAAGACTTCCAAAGTCAGTTCCCATTTCCTCTTTCAACTGAACAACCACCATTGTGAAAATACTAAAATTTATTATGATCCACCTTATATATACTGTTTCATTTATTGCCTCGTAAGATTTCTAAAGCCTTCACTTCATTTTAAAATAAAAAAATCAAGAGTTGGTTTCTTATCCAACAAAAGGAGCTAAACTAAAAATCTATTTAAATACCTTCAGCCTACATCCTTATCCTGTGTAGGGGAAATGTATGTGTACTAATATATTTGTTTTACATTTAAACCTCCAACTATAATAACTGAAAAGAAAAAGTAAAAGCCTGAGACATGTTCTTAAATGAGCTTTCCATACAATTTCCATAAAACTAGAGAAAATACAGAAAGATTTGGTCACAGAGATAAAAAAAAAATAATAATAATGCTACGACCAAATCTGAAAGACTACATTCTCTTTCTCAGGAATAATTCTTTTTTTTTTTTTTTTTGAGATGCAATCTTGCTCTGTCACCCAGGCTGGAGTACAGTGGCATAGTCTTGGCTCACTGCAACCTCCACCTCATGGGTTCAAGCAATTCTCATGCTTCGGCCTCCCTAGTAGCTGGGATTACAGGCATCTGCCACCACATCCGGCTAATTTTTGTATTTTTAGTAGAGACGGGGTTTTGCCATGTTGGTTAGGCTGGTCTCAAACTCCTGACCTCAGGTGATCCACCCGCCTGAGCCTCCCAAAGTGCTGGGATTACAGGTGTGAGCCACTACACCCGGCCTAGGAATAATTCTTTATCCAAAACTCAAAGGGAAAACTTTCATTCAGTAAATCACATCACAGAGTTCTACTCAGTAAATCACATAACAATATTTAACAAGTAAGATAGATTAAAATCCTCAAATTAATCTACAAGATTAAATGTTTATAAAGATTTTTTGTCTTGGTCCTCCATACTGCCTGTGCTTAAGAGACTTTAAATTATTACATGGTAATATTTAAATAAAATCAAATATTACATAGAATTATTAGAATTAGAAAACTCAATCCATAATAAGGACCTTAACTGATTCTGCCTTCTTAAACTACCACTCACAATTAGAAAACATAAACTTCTAGAAAGCTTGTCTTAATATTATTTCTAACAGAGTCAATTGTCATTATTTAGGTAACAGTTGGGAAAGATGTCATGGATAACCTTAAATCATGGCTAAAACAAAACTAAATCAAAGTGGGTGCCAAAAGGAATGTAAACTTACTAGGTAAAAATCACATTCAATATTCAAGAATACAACTCTAAGAATAGAACTCTAAGACATTATCCAAAAATAGAAACATAATGCAAAGATTTCACACCACCAAAGACTACATTATTTATGAAAAACAGCCAATATCTGCTATTATTTTCTGGACTTTAGCTGAGCTCTTTCAAAAATACTACAAAGGTAAAACAGTTGAACAGAAATTCAGTCTCTGCCGCAAGTTCCTATCTATCTTCTCTCCCTTACCTAATTTCTCTACGCTCACAACCTCAACTTTTACTTGTTAGACTCTATATAGCTATAGCTTCCCCTAATCCTTGCCTTCCTTCTGGCTTGGTAGGCAGCCAATCATCAGGATGATGGGAGGGAAGACAGGAGAAGATAAGCATATGGGTGAGAAGCATAAGGGACATTCTCAGGTTATGGTAGGCAAGCTGTGGTACTTACTGAATACTACTCAGTGCCAAACAATAGATGTCTCAAAGGCAGCAGAGGAAAGTAGTTAAGAACACAGGATTGGTAACGAGACTCCCATGGTTCAAACACGGGCTCTCACACTTACTAGCTATATCATCTTAAGCAAGTTCTTCATCTCTGTCTCAGTTTCCTCATTTATAAAATGGGAATACTACTACTATGTATTCCAGTTTGTTACAAAGATTAAGTCAGTTGGTACACAGTAAGTGCTGTATGTGTCTGTTAAGTGAATATATAAGGATATGTATATATTTCTTTGATTTTGTACAATTTTAGTATTTTGCATAAATTACCATTTATTAATTTTACATAGGCCATGTGAAAACTGGGGCAGATTAACCAACATACATTGACTACACTTTGATGAAGAACAGAAAATTGTTTTATACCTCTACTTTGGATGCCAAAAACACACATGTAGGAGCCATTAATACAGGATCTATACTTTTCAGAGAATACCTAAAATATGATAAAACAAAGTTAAATATCATTCATACAGAAAACACACTGGGAAAAAAATCAAGATAACTCTATGGTAGACACATGATTCATTTACACTGTGCTAAGGTTCATCAACATTAGATAAGAGTTCAAATAAATAAAATAAAAACAATCCTACCTGGCATAGAATCTCTTGAAATATACCGTAGCAGTGGCAATAACTTGTTGTCTTAATTTAAGATGTTCACCTAATGCTTGGATAACTAAAAGGCAAATAATGAAATTTTAAATGTATCTTCTGGTATCATTATAATATTAACATTGAACAGTAACTTCCATGTGGTTAAATCATAATTATGTTCATTTTTAACAAAGGAAAAAACCTACACATGCTCTATGTGAGTCACAGTGGTCTAATTCTAGGATTTGCAAATGTGTTAAGAAATATATAGGTATGCATAAACAACAACAAAACAACAACAAAACAGAAATTGCCCCACAGGAAAAAATTATTCATCCATTAAGGAAGTTGAATAAATATTTCCCCTCTATCTTCTAAATATTTTTAATGCTTTTCATAGTATCTTTATAATAAATATAAAAAGAAAATATTAGACACCTATGAAACTTGTTAATACTACCACTTTTTTTGTTGTTTTGAGACAGAGTCTCGTTCTGTCGCCCAGGCTGGAATGCAGTAGCACGATCTTGGCTCACTGTAATCTCCACCTCCCAGGTTCAAGTGATTCTTGTGCCTCACCACGCCCAGCTAATTTTTGTATTTTTAGTAGAGAGGGAATTTCACCATGTTGGCCAGGCTCATCTCAAATTCCTGGCCTCAAGTGATCTGCCCACCTCTGCCTCCCAAAGTGCTAAGATTACAGGTGTGAGCCACCACACTTAGCTTTATACAGCTCACCAAAATAAATAAATAATACATAAAAATCCATAACGAATCCTCAAAAAAAAGATAAGTTTACAAAATAGTGAACCGAAAGTTAAAAAAATTATGTGACAAACCTACTACATGTCAGAGTAAAGATCTATCCCTACATCTTCTTCCCTTCAAAGCAAAGTTCTAAGAGAAACGACCACTATAGGATGTCAATCCAAAGAATCATTTATCCTCAAAGTACTTTGCTTTAGCCAACCTTGAACTGGGTCTAATAATTATTATAAAGTCTTAGGGAGATTAGGTAACACTTTCAAATTGTCTTGAGTGCCTGTGATATGTAAAATTCACACAAAAAAACTTTATTTGGATCACTAAAAAGAAAGATAAATGAATATGTTGTAAAAAGAATACCTGTATAAGCAAAAATGTTAGGTATGCACTAAAACAGTTCACAAATTACCACACAAAAACATTTTTATTCAGAGGTAACCAACTATACAATTTGAACCAATTTTTAAAAAAGTTTACCATTTGTAAAAAATATTTGTAACTTCCAATATTCTTCCTCTGAGAGAAACTTTAAATCCTTTTGGCGCTCCTTCAACAGATCTTGTTTATCCAAAATCCATTGCAAACTAGAAAAGACATGTTACAGAAAATCAACAAGCAAGGTCAGAGGAAACACTCTAAGATTGAACACATTGTTCATATTCTGAGAAGTACAAAGTGCAAAAAGTAACCTTAAAGACAATTATTTCTCACATTTCTTGAAACGTGACTAATAAGAATTATCTCACTAATAAATGTAAATACGTCCTGAAAAAATTCTGCTCTAATCTTTTCCTTCTTCCTCCTTAGTCTGTTACTAGCTTGTATTTCATTGATTCTGGCTCTGATATCAAGATATGTCTTACAATCTGTGATGCCTTCGTGTTTTAATTGGCAGCATGTTTATTCTTTCTTAGTGATATAAGATAATGGTGGAATTATTTGGCACCAATTGATGGTGGCTTAGATTTGAGGAAGTATATAGTTTTCCAGCTGTTCATGGGTAACTATGGCATTTAATTTCCTTACTTCACAAATCTAATTATATTAAAAACTGCCTCAGAATGTGTTACACTGATAGCCTCCTCCTCTTGCCTAGTCAAGTGTGCTATTTTTAACCAGATATGAAATTGACATGACTCAAAGAAAAAACTATCTTGAACCTGTGTTTGTCATTCAATATGTATTTGAAGTCTTATGTCAATGAACTTGTTATTCAGCATTCTTTTATACAGCTTTATGGATGGATCATTATTTAGCCAATCTCTACTGATGGAAATACAGGTCGTCATTTTTCACCCATATTTTCTGATACCCTTAAGGGCTTTTTTCCTTCAATTTATGATCCATCTGGAATTTATTTTGGTACAAAGTAGGGATCCAGCTAAAATTTTGTCAAATGCTTATCCAAATGCATGGAGGTATTTCCTAATTTATAATTCTATCATTATACTTGGATCTTCTTTATAATTTCCTATTTTTTTCTTGTTCACATGCTGTGCTATTTTAGACACAGAAAATTAAGTAATTAATAGCTGGTATAAAAAAAAACTCTCTTCCTACTATTTTCCTGAATGATATTCTTCTTAATGAATATCTTTGTAATTCTCCTTGCATATTTGATTAATAATATATTTGAAATAACTTCCCAGAAGTAGGATTAATGGGTTAGTGTTGCTGGTAACTTATTGATACACATTGTCAGTTTACCCTCCAAAAACATTATACCAATTTCCATTTGTATTAACAGTTCATGAGTGAATCTTATAATATTTAATCCTGGCCGGGCGCGGTGGCTCATGCCTGTAATTTTAGCACTCTGGGAGGCCGAGGTGGGTGGATCACCTGAGGTCAGGAGTTTGAGACCAGCCTGACCAATATGGTGAAACTCCATCTCTACTAAAATTACAAAAATTAGCTGGACGTGGTGGCGTGCGCCTGTAGTCCCAGCTACCTGGGAGGCGGAGACAGGAGAACTGCTTGAACCCGGGAGGTGGAAGTTGCACTGAGTTGAGATCATACCACTGCACTCCAGCCTGGGGTACAGAGTGAGACTCTGTCAAAAAAAAAAAAAAAAAAAAAATTCCTATGGGTTACTGCCACTTTTAAATACTTTGTAACTTAAAGGCAAAGTAGTATGTCACTGTTTCTTTTCCCTGTAGTTTACTTTTGAGGTTAAACATCTTTCCATGTCTTTATTGGTCAAATACAGTTCTTCTTTTGTACAATGTTAATTCTAATATGACCATTTTTCTAATGGGATTACCGATTTTTTTAATGATTAAGAGATTCTTCTGATCTAAAATTTGTATAGTATAAATAATAAATCATTTGTTTGTCAAATAAGTGCAAAATTTCTCCCAAGTTTAAATATCTCTCAGTATTTATTTGTAATACAGAAATCTGAATCACTTACTTAAATCTACCTTTTACTTTCATGTTTGTCAGGCATAGCAAGGCCTTTCCTGATTCAAAACGATAAAAAACAATTCACCCATATTTTCTAATACCCTTAAGAGCTTTTTTCCTTCAATTTATGATCCATCTGGAATTTATTTTGGTACAGAGTATAAAGCAGGGATCCAGCTAAATATGTTGTCAAATGCTTATCCAAATGTGCTAAGGTATTTCCTGATTTATAATTCTATCATTATACTTGGATCTTCTTTATAATTTCCTATTTTTTTCTTCTTCATATGCTGTGCTACTTTAAAACATAGAAAATTAAGTAATTAATAGGTGATATGAAAAATACTCCCTTCTATTCTTCTGAAAATTTCTGACTATTCTATCACAATTATTCTAAGACCTAAACTTTAGAAGCATTATGTCGAGTCCTAAAAAAGAATATCCATTCAAATTTTGTGATTACATTACATTTAAAGATCAATATGGGGAGAAATGACATCTTACCAAGAATTCAAACTCTATTAAAATCTGTATGTGCCACTATGGACTTTTAAAGTTTTCTTCCTACAGGTTCTGTATATTTCTTTATATTTTTCCCTCTGTATATTTTCTGTTGCTAATGTAAATTATACTTCTCTATCCATTTTTAAAAAGCTTTTATTTTTGCATTTTATAACTGGTCACCTTCCTAAACCTTTATTATTTCTAATAACTTCTCAATTAACTGAGTTTTCTCATTAATTTTATTTCCACGTATTGATAATTTTGTCCCTGTTTTGTCATTCTTTCTATATCTCCTTTGTATCAACTGTATTGACTAGCATATTGGTAAAATCTTAAATAGGCACCCTAATTATCTCAATGTTTCACCACTGCTGATGCTTTATGTTTTTCATGTTAAGGAAGCATCCTATTTCTGTTTTAGTAAGAGCTTTAGTCAAGGATAAATGTTGAATTGTATTAGTTTTTTAATACCTTTACTGCTTGATTTCTTAATATTGACTATATTTCTATAATAAAATCCAATGTCATGTTTTATACTTTCAATGTAATGTTAGACTGCATTTGGTAATAATTCATTTACAATGTTTGCATTAATATTCAAAAGTGAGACTGTTTTTAGTGTTCCCTTTGCTAGATTTTTCTGTGTTATCATGGCTTCATAAAGAGAATTAGAAAGCTTTTCTTCTTTCTGTATGAAATGGAACAATTTCAAAAGGAGATTCTCTTGAAAGATGGAAAGTATTTACCCATGAAATAACACATAGCTCTTGGGTAATACTCTTAACTTGCTTTGGCTTTCAAATTTAAAACCCTGGAGATAACCCAAAAGTACCCCTGGGTTTACTTTTCTCATTCCTAATTTTGTATTTTTGTATCATTCCTTTTTCCCCTGATTTAACTAGCAGTAGTTTGGTCTACTGTTTTTATTTACTCTAAGAATTAGCTTTTATAATTTTTTTCCTTTTAATATATTAGCATCGTTATCTATTTTAAGTCTTTCTGTTTCTTTAGGTTTATTTCATGTTTCCTTCTTAATATTATTAAATAGAATATTTCTATTATCTCTCAATTATTCAGGATATTGATTTTCTAATACATTCAAGCTTTGGTTACATTCCATATATGGTACTATTATGATGTTATTTTCTAGATAGTAAGTAACTGTATTTTCAGTTTCCTGTGGATACCAATAAAGTATCCACAGTTAGTTTTGTAGTTTTTATTTTTGTTACTTGTTCATTAATGCATTCAATTAACCAGCAAATACTTAGTGCCCTTCTAGTTCATTTTGGTCACAGACTGTGTTTTGTTCTACCTCAACTACACTGTGGTTTGCTAATTAATTTCATCCCCACAGAGTCATTTTATGTTTTTAAAAAGATAAATTTCACAAACATTTTATGAGTTTTCCTCACAGAACTCTGTATGGAGAATAAACTAAAAAACTTTATAAATACTGCATTTCATCAAATTTAAGATTACATCTAGGATTCATCATTATTTCATATGCTATGAAAGCAACTGCCATGCTGATTTCAAAGATGTTAAAGTGTGAAAACGTGCATCTTAGAAGCATGAAATATAGCATATTTAATATCAATTGCCCTCTTTCACCAAATTCACCTAAGACAATGGCCTTTCATAATCTTTTCGTTTGTTTTTCCAGAATTGTCTTGTCTTCCACACTCGTTACCTTTTCCAGATAAGAAACTCCATGACTGCTCAAGGGATTTGAGCAAGGCAAAGTGGTCCCTTCTTTTAGGACTATTTGAATTGGGAGAAAAGAATAGTTTCAAAGAAGTACACTTAACTTTATAATAATTTTATATTTGAAAAGTGAAAACATATTTTTAGAATGCTATGAATAAATGAAAGCATAATGAGAACACTATTGAAAATAAGGCAGGATCTTTTTTTTTTAAGTTGAAAAACTGAAAAATCAACAGTCAGCTACTTGTCAATTCTCTCAGCTTCTTTCAGAGTTTATCAGAATATCTCTTCTCCACTACCTAAACTTTTTTTTTCAGGAGCTCTAACTCCAATACCTAAACTTTCGATACTTTAATTTTGCCCAAGCAATATTTCAGTGTGTGAAAACAATGCAACATATATACACACACATATATATATACATACACACACACACATATATATACACACACACACATATGATCAGTGGTAAAGCTTCTTTAACATGTCATCTCCACAGAATCACTTTATAGCAAGAGGAAAACCTGCTTTTCCTTAAATAGGTTACTGAGTTCATTGTTTCTTTTTTTCTCTTTGCAAAGGGCTAAAAAATGAACATCAGGAACAGATCCTATTCACAGAATCGAAATTTAAATTACTTACTAATGCTTTCTTAGCATAAAAAATTATACCAAGATACCTTGTCAAATTCTGTTCATCTTTCAACTATACAGTGGAAAGCCTACTCAAATGTTCAATTTACCCCATAACGCACCTTCCTGCCTGCTTAAACAAATGTATTTAGGGATAAATGTTTTTAATATTATTCTAGCTCTCACATGGTCACTGACAGAAACAAGAACTTATTCATGAAAAAGGTTAAAGAAACAGGTAAACAAAGTCACTGGAAAAATAGGCCTTTAAAACAAAATATAAAGCACAGGCTAATGAAATGGATAAATTTAGAGGGCACCTGCCCTATACCTTATCAATATAAAACTCCATCTAGACATAAAGTACGCGCAAGAAGCGGTTAGTAGGCAGAAACAAGCCAGACTCTCTCCTCTCCTCATAATATTAAATCCACTCAAGATATACAGTGAATGACAAAAGACCACGACGCCGATCACCCGAAGAAACCCCAGGTAAAAGCACGCCACAACTGTCCTGAACAGGTAGCCTCACAGTCTTGAGCTGAGTCACACTTCCCGTACCTGTGCCCACTCTATCCGACCCCCCGCGGCCTAGCTAAACCAAGAATCCGAAATTAAACTCCGAAACGTTCCTTCCCGGGAGACGAAACTCTCTCCCACCCCTCCCCCTCACAGATCCTTCCCTCCCCGAAACTGGGGCTGGGGGCGGGGAGGGGAGTCGCCTCAGAAAAGCGCATCTTGATTCTGACCGCTGCGGTCTCCCGTGAGGACCCCGGCACTCGGAACTGAGCTGGGATCCAGGCCCAGGGGAGTCACAGGCCCCGTCCTCACAGCTCCCCCAAAAACCGGCCCCAGGTGAGAAGACGGAAGATCGCTTACTAGTGGGAGCTCTGCCAAAAGTTCCCTGCCATGGAACACAGCTTGCCCTGATAAAAAAGCACCAGCCGGCGGAGCGGCCCGCGGAGCGACCATAGACCCAGCCCGTCCGGTAACCGCGCTCCTCGATCAAATCAGCTCGGCTCGACTCCGCTCCGCGGCGGCGACGGCGAAAGGAAGAGGATGGCCCCCTAGTCTCCTTCACGCCGGCCGACAACACTCAACTGTGCAAACCCGTTCCTATCGACAAAAGTTCCGGCCCGCGGTAGCGGAGGGAGCCGGAGGGGAGGTGCTGACCCTTGGAGGTGCTGAGATTGAAGAGAACTAGTGTTCACGAGAGCTCGCGGCGGTTGGAAGGCTCTCGCGAGAGCGTCTTGAGAATTCTGGCCGGGGGCCCAAGCCGCTCGGTCTCCTGTCTTCAGCACGGGAGTTGCTGAGTGGGTCTAACCTAGGCGAAGTGGCTCAGATACGGGGTTCTGTTATTACCTCTTCCAGGACTTCAAAAACAGAACAATGTGGCATTGTAATAAAGTACAAGGTTTTGTGACTTATTTTTCCTGTGATTGGAAAGAGAAATAAATGAAGATGACTTTGTTCTCAGGGATCAAGTGTTCCTTTTTTTTTTTTACTTTATTTATTTATTTATTTTGAGACGGAGTCTTGCTCTGTCTCCAGGCTGGAGTGCAGTGGCACGATCCCGGCTCACTGCAAGCTCCGCCTCCAGGAGTTCAAGCGATTCTCCTGCCTCAGCCTCCCGAGTAGCTGGGACTGCAGGCGCGCACCACCATGCCCAGCTAATTTTTGTATTTTTAGTAGAGATAGGGTTTCACCATGTTGGCCAGGATAGTCTCAAACTCCTGACCTCGTGATCCGCCCTCCTCAACCTCCCAAAGTGCTGGGATTACAGGCGTAAGCCACCGCACCCTGCCTGTTTTTTACTTTTGAGACGGAGTCTGGGTCTGTCACCCAGGATGGAATGCAGTGGCACAATCTCGGCTCACAGCAACCTCTGCCTTTCCAGTTCAAATGATTCTGCTGCCTCAGCCTCCCAGGTAGCTGGGATTACAGGGATTACAGGCGCGTGCCACCACGTCCATCTAATCTTTGTATTTTTAGTGGAGAGGGGATTTCGCTAGGCTGGTCTGGAACTCCTAACCTCAGGTGATCCGTCAGCCTCAGCCTCCCAAAATGCTGGGATTAACAGGCGTGGGCTACCAGGCCCGGCCTGGATCAGGCGGTTTTTTTTTTTTTTTTTTTTTGAGACGGAGTCTTGCTCTGTCGCCCAGGTTGGAGTGCAGTGGCGCTATCTAGGCTCATTGCAACCTCTGCCTCCCAGGTTCAAGCGATTCTCCTGCCTCAGCCTCCCAAGTAGCTGGGACTACAGGCTCACACCACCACGCCCAGCTAATTTTTGTATTTTTAGTAGAGACAGGGTTTCACCATGTTGGCCAGGATGGTCTCCATTTCCTGACCTCGTGATCCGCCCACCTCGGCCTCCCAAAGTGCTGGGATTACAGGCGTGAGCAACCGCGCCCGGCCGCGATCTTTTTTTTTTTTTTTTTTGAGACGGAGTCTCGCTCTGTCGCCCAGGCTGGAGTGCAGTGGCGAGATCTCGGCCGCGATCTTAATGGAGTTATTTTGGAGTGATAAAGTGCAAACTTACAGAGCAGCGGAATCAACAGTTTTGCAGAACATCTAAAAATATTCATGCATATATGTATGCACATGTATGTACATGTATGCACCTAATAGAAACATACTGCAAAAAAAGCCATAATTTAATTTTACAAGACGAAATATTTTGTATTTTCCATTTCATTTTCATTGTAGCAATGCATTTATTGTAAAACTTATAATTATTTTTCTAAATAATTGGACACTCCAGAAACTTGTTTATAGACAGTCAGCATCTGAGGCAACTTAAGACAGTATTTTTCACATTGTAGGTGGAGACCAATTAGGGTGTGGTAAAATTAAGTATAATCATTTTCCTAAATAGAACAGAAAATACTAGGTAAATCAGAAATAGCAAGGATATTATATTTAAATTTGGTTCAGTTATATATGTGTGTATATACATACACAAACACACATATACACACACAGTCAAGATGTGAAATGCATTTGTTTGTATGTGAGAATTAGTCTGCATCAGGTGTGGTGGCTCACGCCTGTAATCCCAGCACTTTGGGATGCCGAAATGGGCGGATCACTTGAGGTCAGGAGTTTGAGACCAGCCTAGCCAACATGGTGAAACCCTGTCTCTACTAAAAATACAAAAATTAGCGGAGTGTGGTGGCGTGCACCCGTAGTCCCAGCTACTCGGGAGGCTGCAGCACAAGAATCGCTTGAACCCAGGAGGCAGAGGTTGCGGTGGGCAGAGATTGTGCCACTGCACTCCAGCCTGGACAACAGAGTGAGACTCCAAATCCAAAAAGAAAAAGAAAAAAGAATGAATTAGTCTGGATAAGCTACACTAGGTGAAATTGTGGTAACACCTCCCCACCCCCACCCCTAATCAGCATAGCTTAACATCAAAGTATTTTACATGTCATACGTCACTCCCATAAAGTCCCATAAAGTCGGCTTGCTCTCCTTGGTGGTTGTCTTCCAGATTTTCAAGAATGTAATATTTATATATCCTTCAATTACTCCATCTTGATGGTCTTTACTTCTAGGTTTAAAATCTTTCTAGAGAGAGCACAGAGGACTCATACTAACTCTTACCCAGGGTTAAGAGCCTTGAAACAGAAACAACCCAATCACTTTCTCTCATGGGCCATTGACCAGAATAGACACATGCCTCCAATTTTTAACTGTGAAGAAAGCTGAGGCCAGGCACGGTGGCTCACGCCTGTACTCCCAGCACTTTGGGAGGCCAAGACAGGCAGATCACGAGGTCAGGAGATCAGACCATCATGGCCAGCATGGTGAAACCCCGTCTCCACTAAAATACAAAAATTAGCCGGGCATGGTGGCGCATGCGTGTGATCCTAGCTACTTGGGAGGCTCAGGCAGGAGAATCGCTTGAACCTGGGAGGCGGAGGTTGCAGTGAGCCAAGATCGCGCCACTGCACTCCAGCCTGGGTGTCGGAGTGAGACTCTGTCTCAAAAAAAAAAAAAAAAGAAAGAAAGCTGAGAAATGTAAACGAGTGTGTAGTATACTTCATGAACACTACTGTCTGTTACACTACAGATCACAATAGAAAATATTGGCAGGGCGCGGTGGCTCAGGCCTGTAATCCCAGCACTTTGGGAGGCTGAGGTGGGCGGATCACGAGGTCAAGAGCTCGAGACCATCCTGGCTAACACGGTGAAACCCCGTCTCCACTAAAAACACAAAAAATTAGCCGGGCGTGGTGGCAGGCGCCTGTAGTCCCAGCTACTCGGGAGGCTGAGGCAGGAGAATGGCATGAACCCAGGAGGCGGAGCTTGCAGTGAGCTGAGATCGAGCCACTGCACTCCAGCCTGGGCGACAGAGTGAGACTCCATCTCAAAAAAAAAAAAAATAAATAAAAATATATATATATTTATCTTTATATTTATATTTAAAAGGCACTACCTTAAGAAACTCCAGGCCATGGGCTAGTTCACAGATTCAGGATTTCTTCAACTCTCTCAGGGTTTGTTTTGTTTTTGTGAAACTGGCATCATCCAGAAGATAAGGATACTGCAACGAATTAGTATTACTAATGTTTTATTCTAAGCGATCCTATTATACTTTGTTGCTATTACTGGACTAGCACTTTTTTTTTTTTTTTTTTTTTTTGAGGCAGAGTCTTGCTCTGTCACCCAGGTTGGAGTGCAATGGCTTCAGGCGATTCTCCTGCCTTAGCCTCCCAAGTAGCTGGGATTACAGGTGCCTGCCACCATGCCCAGATAATTTTTTTTTTTTTTTTTTTTTTTTGGATTTTTAGTAGAGATGGGGTTTCACCATGTTGGTCAGGCTGGTCACAAACTCCTGACCTCAGTTAATCCACCCACCTCAGCCTCCCAAAGTGCTGGGATTATAGGCATGAGCCACCGTGCCCCGCAATTTTGTTTTATACCTAATTCTGCACTCTTCTTCCTACAAAACAGTGAGATCCTTCATCTTTGTATAAATCTCTTATAGAATTTGGGGGATGTGCTTTGATATAACATTACGGATACAAAATTATGTTGAAAAGTGAGTACTACATTTAGAATGCAAAAAGAGCCACAACAACTTACTAGAGCTGTGGAAATTCAGGTCCTTTCCTTCTGTGAACTCTTTTAGGCAATTTACCACAAGTGCTACATAGAACCTCTTCCTGTTTGTGACCTGGTTTCTGCTTCCACCAAATGCCCAGCAGCTCCCAGTGCTCATGGGGGCTGTGCAAGTGACAGGCCTGGAGCTTAGGCTTCCTTAGTTTCAGAGTAAATTGCTTTTGAGGTCATTCTATAAATGTAGGTTGAATTAAATTGACTTGAACCAAAAGCTAACTTCATTTAAGGATATCTCTAGTGGAATAGATAAATTTACAAAAGCTGTTAAAATACATAGATATCCCAGCTTACCTGGATGCAAAAAGATCATGAGCTATCTAGCAGATTTGCCTTTTTTCGCTGATGATTTTTTAAACTTTTCTTTATAATTTTAGGAGTATTGTTTTTCAGACCTCACTACCCACTAATTTAAACTTGATGAAATAAATTAATGTTGTCCCTTCCAATTTTCAACTTACCTTGTGCTTTTCAAATGGGATGAGTTCAATAAATTCTTTTTAAAAAATTTTTTATTTTTCATTTTTGTGGATACATAGTAGGTGTGTATATTTATGGGGGTACATGAGCTATTTTGATACAGGCATGCAATGAGTAATAATCACATCAGGGTAAATGGGTATCCATCATCTCAAGCATTTATCCTTTGTGTTACAAACAATCCAATTATACTCTTTTAGTATTTTAAAATGTTAATAAATTCTTGATGCTAGTGTTCAATCTCCTGTGACAAGAAAGCATTTATCCTTTTTCTTCTTACAGTGCTTTCTCCAGCAGCATGAATACTATTTCTGGTAAACTAGGAGCTAGAAGGTTAGTGGCTTTATCAAGCTCACTTAGTTAAATAGCGGCAAGAATACCTGGAATCCGATTCTTCTGATTCACAGTGCAATAACTTTTTTATCCAACTAGACAGCTTCAACAGAACTACTATGATGAAACCGCTATAAGCACATTATTCCAAGTTTGTAGTACAAGTTTTTCTTCTCAAACACAATTATTGGAGATAATCCTCTCATTTTTAATTAAATTATTATCATAATTACTTTGCTTTGTTATTAATAGTCCTTATTGTGAAAAACATCCTCTTCTTTATGTAGTCATCCCCTGTACCTCCCTTTATTTTTGTTCTGGTATACCTGTATTTGTTGAAGATGAATACACGTCTAAATTATGGAAAAGTGTCTTTGTTTTGTGCTATAAGAGAATAGCACAGACTGGGTAATTTATAATTGTCAACCAAGATAACAGAGAGAGGCTCTCTAAAAGAAAATGATCTTTATTTAGGAATAGGGCATTGCAATAGGAGTATGTGCACCCTTAGTAAACTACATGGGTATTTAGGGAGGTGAAGGAACACAAAGGGTTTTAAAGAAAAAATGAAAAGGATTACATAATTGTTTTGAGATAAGTTAGCCATGGCTACAAAGATCAATTACAAAGGTGACACCAGTCCAAGATTAGATAGGCAGTTGCTGGGCAGATATCCTCACAGAAATACTGTTTTTCGTGCAAGGTTGCTGTGGTGTTTGTGCAATGTTATGGTTTTTGCAGCATCTTTTGTGATAGTTTTTGTTACCAGGCATTTATTTGTGAGAACCCTTCCTTCATGGCCCTTTGAGGCTCTATTTTTTATTTTTGTTTTTTAACACAAGTGACTCCATTTTGATCTTGACAACTTTCACATAATGAACAGAAATGTATTAGCTCATGGGTTCTTGAGGCTGGGAAGTCCAAGATTGAGGGGCTGGCATCTGGTGAAGGCCTTCTTGCTACATCATCCCATGGCAGAAGGACAAAGAGAAGGTGAGAGAGAGAGAGAAAGAGAGAGAGAGAGCAAGACGGGGCCAAACTCATCATTTTATAAGGAACCCATTCCCAGGATAACAGCATTAATCCATTCATGAAGGCAGAGGCCTCATAGCCTAATCACTTCTCATTAGGCTCCACCTCTCAACATCATGACATTGGAGATCAAGTTTTCAACATGTAAACTCTGAGGGCATATTCAAACTGTAGTATAAAGTGTATTAGTTAAGAACTCAGTCTCTAGACTGATGAGGTTCAAATAATAGCTCTGCTGCTTACCAGTTGTCTAACCCTGGTCATCTACTTAGTCACTCTGAGTCTCAGTTTCTTCATCTGTAAAACAGGGATAATTATTGGTAAGTCATAGGGTTGTGGTGAAGTTTAAATGAACTTAAATGAAATTAGAGCAGTGCCTGATACATAGTAAAAGCTCAATAACTGTTAGCTTTTTTTAAATTTAGAACAAATCTGGACTCTATAACATGGACTATAAAGAACTCTGTTTTCAGAGATGAGGAAGATCTCTTTGTATCTAGCTTCATACAAGGAGGAACATGCTCTGTCTTTTAAGACAAGCCTTTGACACTGTAATGCAGTTGTATTCTGCAGGGAACAATAATCAAATATGTTGGGTTACAATATGCCAGCTTACTCATGCCATTAGATATTTGTTCTGCCCTGTACACTCCTAGATTTGGTGTCCCCAGACATTTGGAGTGATTCCAGAATTCACCTTTCATTTTTGGTTAGTCTAGAATGGCCTTTGAGAGAACAAAATGTATCAATAAGAAATCTTAGAGCCAGATCTCTTCAATCCTATTGTCTGGAGATTCCCAGGATCAAGAAATGGCCTGCATACAAGATTTGCCAGAACAAGAAGTGTCCAAATAATTGGTGAACACCAATCAAGGTGATCCAGCTGGGGAAGCCTGTCTGGATTGTGATGTAACTAAAAGTTTACACCAAGTTATTATATTAGTTTGCTTTAAAAGATGGTGAAAGGAAAATTTATGGAATCCATAAATAGAGGTCAGAAAGATCAAATTTTGGCAGGGTGTCTGTGTTCATTTCCCATTGTTGCTATAACAAATTACCTTATTTTACAGTTCTGGAGGTCAGAAGTCCTAAATGTCATCCTTTCCTTTCACTGGTGTGCCACAGCAAGATGGTGGTGCAGTTTTTCAAGAAGAGGAAGTTTGTCATTGATGGTATCTTCAAAGCTGAACTGAATGAAGTTCTCATTCAGGAGCTGGCTGAAGATAGCTACTCTGGAGTTGAGGTCTGAGTTACACCAGCTAGGACAGAAATCTTTACCTTAGCCACCAGAACACAGAATGTTCTTGGTGAGAAGGGCTGGCATATTTGGGAATTGACTGCTGTAGTTCAGAAGAGGTTTGGCTTTTCAGAGGGTAAAGTAGAGCTTTATGCTGAAAAGGTGTCTACAAGAGATATGTGCCATTGTCCAGGCAGAGTCTCTGTGTTACAAACCCCTAGGAGGGCTTGCTGTGCAGAAGGCCTGCTATGGTGTGCTGCGGTTCATCATGGAGTGTGGGACTAAAGGCTTCAAGGTCATTGTGTCCAGGAAACTCTGAGGACAGAGGGCTAAATCCATGAAGTTTGTGAATGGCCTGATGATCCACAGCTGGGACCCTGTTAATACTATGTTGACACCGCTGTGCACCATGTGCTGCTCCAACAGGCTGTGCTGGGCATCAAGGTGAAGGTCATGCTTCCCTGGGAACCAGCTGGTAAGATTAGCCCTAGGAAGTCCCTGCCCGACCAGGGGCAGGGGACCCATCTTTGGGTTCGTGGAACCCAAAGATGAGATACTCTCCACCACTCCCATCTCAGAAGAGAAGGGTAGGAAGCCAGAGCCACCTGCCATGTCCCAGCCAGTCCCCACAGCATAACAGGGTCTACTTAGCAGCTGTGTCTGGAGTCTGGATGTTGTTCTGTAAAGAACTTTAATAAAATCTTGTACAAAGAAAAAAGTCCTAAAGTCGTAGATGCATCTCACTATGCTAAAATTAAGGTGTCAGCAGGGCTGTATTCCTCTCTAAAGAATCTAGAGGATAATCTGTATTCCTGCCTTTTCCAGTTTCTAGAGGTTCCCACATTTCTTGGCTCATGGCTCCCTTAATCTTCAAAACCAGCCATGGCCAGTTGAGTCTTTCTCATGTTGTGTCACTCTAAATTGTACCTTCTTCTTCCACATTTAAAGTACCCTTGTGATTACTACCCTGGGCCTACCTGGATAATCTGGGATAATTTTCTTATTTTAAATTCAGCTCACTAGCAACCTAAATTCCATCCGCAACCTTAATTCCTCCCTGCCATGTAACATAACATATTCACAGGTTCTGGGGATTCAGTTGAGGACATCTTTGGAGACTATTATTTTGACTGCTACAGTGTCTTCAGATTGTTAATCAGCTCTGGCCCACAGACTTAAGTATCTAGGCTCTTCAGCAAGTATGTTCTTAGGGTACAAGTTGATGTATCAGATTGTTATAACTTGATAGCACTAACTTCAACCAACTTCTATTGATCTAATTTTGTACTTATGAAGCAATCTTTCAATAATAATTTGGTTTCCCACATTAATTTGCCTATGGAAATATAATGCTATGAGCAGTAAAAAAGTATTTAATCAATTGGCAATTATCTTTATAAATCAATTAATTTGTATTGTTTTTTCTTTTTTTTTAACTGTAATCTCATGACAGATTATATATTAGGTTTTTTGCAGGTTTTTTTTTTTCACAGATGGGGGTCTCACTATGTTGCCCAGGCTGGTCTCAAACTCCTGGGTTCAAGTGATCCTCCTGTCTCAGCCTCCAAAAGTGTTGGGATTTACGGGTATGAGCCACTGCACCTGGTTGGGTTTTTAATGTATGAGTTTCTATGAGCTTGATCAATGTATTTACACCCAAGAGATAGACTAGACTTAGTAATCTGGCAGCTCATGTTTCTGAGTCTGCAAAAATAAAGACCAGATCTGCAAACTCTGGGGAAGTCTATCTGTCTAGTGGTCTTCTGAAATGATTGATTTTGAGGTACTTTTCAAACTAAAGCTCAGAATGGATCTCACTTTCTGGCTATAAACTGGATACTCCCCTAACTTCTTTCATTATGTTATTTATCCCTGCAGCATTGGCCAATTCTCTTCTTTGTTTTTATTCATTTTTTTCACATCTACATACTATAATTGAACTTTTTTGGTTGCAAAGTTACTTCCATAAATTTACAGTTCATTAAAAGAAGAAATGTGGATTGGCGCTAGAATTGTAACTAGAAAACTGTCTGGAATTGAGACATACTTCTTTTTGTGTGTTTCTTGTTTTCCTGTTCCAACTGGCCTATACTATTTCCCCATTCTGAGTATTTTCTGTCTGCTTCATAGTCTCTGCATTGTAACTTTAGTTTGTATGCTCTTAGTTTTTCTCTTTAACATGAACTTTCAGCTTTAATTCCATTCTACTTCATTCTCTCCTTATTTCCTTTGTTTATATAGATAGAGGTTTCACACCAAAAAAAAAAAGTGTCTAGGGCCCCACAAAACTAGGGACAGCCCTGATGAGAACAACCATAATTGGCTTAGGATGGTTGGTGGTCCTTAATCTTGACTGTGCTTTAGACTTACTTGAGGGTGCTTCTAAAACAATCATCCTTTTCAGACTTGACTTCCAGACCAAATTTCTTCTATAGAATAAATACACATACAAACATATTTATATGCCTGTGTACTTATTTATATCTAAGCAAGAAGAAATAAGTGGAAGAATATACATCAAGACATTGAAATGATAATGGGAACAACCACATGATAATGAGCAACAACTATATTAATCAGGGTTCTCCAGAGAAGCAGAACCAATAGGAGATTATATATATAATTGGCATACTTGATTATAGAAGCCGAGAAATCCCACAGCCTGCCATCTTCAAGCTGGAGATCCAGAAAAGCCAGTGGTGTAGTTCCAGTCCAAGCCTGAGGGCTTGACAACCAGGAGCACTGATGTCCAAGGGCAGAAGATAAGATGGATGTCCAGATTCCAGAAGAGAGAGTGAATTGACCCTTCCTCTGTCTTTTTGTTCTGTTTAATCATGCAACAGTTTGGATGATGCCCACCACATTGGTGAGGGCTATCTTCTTTACTCAGTCAACTGATTCAAATCTCTTCCTACTATGTCCTTTTTCTCTTCCAGGAGAAAAAACTTCATAGCCACACCTAGAAATAATGTTCTACCAGTTACCTGGGCATACTTAGCCTAATCAAGTTGACTTCTAAAATTAACCATCCATAACAACCAAACAGTACAGTATTTTAACCCAAATAATAAAATAAATATACCTGGATCTATGCTGACATACATATGTAAGTATATGATTAAGTAAATAAATAAATGGGTAAAAGATAAATCTTCCTTACTAAAGAATTCCAAATAATACATGTAGACAGTTTCCCCTCCAGAGATGGAACTTAAAGCTTCACCCCTTGAGTATGGGCTGAATTTAGTGTCTTGCTTCCAAACAATAGATTATGTAAAGGGAAAAAATAGTAACTTTACAGCAGAGACACCTGGCACACACTACCTGAACAAAGCGATCAAGGTTAGCATCAACACTGATAAGTCATGTTGGTAGTATGTATTCCTGACATGATGTGATAAGGAGAGAACTCTACCTTTACCTCTGTGGTCTTCCTCTTAAAAGTCTGTAACCCTACAACTAGTCATGAGAAAAAAAAAAACATCATCAGACAAACCCAAATTTAGGGACATTATACAAAACATCTGACCAGCACTATTCAAAAATATCCAGGTCATCAAAAACAAATAAAGACTGAGAAACTGTCACAGACTAGAGGGGAATAAGGAGATTTAATGGCTAAATGTAATGTGGTATCCTGCGTGGGATCCTGGAACAGAAAAAAGACATAGTAGGAAAAATTGGTGAAATTTGAATAAACTGTGAAAATTGATTAATAGTCATGAAGCAATAACAGTCTCTCAATTTTAACAAATGTGCTATAGTTATGTTAAGATGTTAATATTAGGGGAAACTGGGTAAGAGACATATAGGCACTCTCTGTGCTATCTTTATAACTTTTCTGTAAATTTAAATTAAATTATTCCAAGATAAGAGGTTTGATGTAGTTTGGATATTTGTCCCTGCCCAAATCTCATGTTGAAATCTAATCTTCACTATTGGAGGTGGGGCCTGGTGGGAGGTGTTTGGGTCGGGGGAGGATCTCTCTTGGCTTGGTGCTGTCCTCATGATAGTGAATGAGTTCTGATGAGATCTGTTTGCTGTAAAGTGTGGCCCTCCAGCCTCCACCTCTTGCTCCTGCTCCCGCTATGTGATGTGCAAGCTTCTGCTCCACCTTCTGCCATGAGTAAAATCTCCCCGAGGCCTCCCCAGAAGCCAAGAGATGCCTGTTCTGTACAGCCTGTGGAACTGTGAGCCAGTTAAACCTGTTTTTTAAAATAAATTGCTCAGTCTCAGGTATTTCTTTATAGCAACACAAGAATGGCCTAATACAAAGCTTACTTTAAAAATATACTCCAGGCCAGGTGCAGTGGCTCATGCCTGTAATCCCAGCACTTCGGGAGGCTGAGGTGGGGAGATCACTTGAGGTCAGGAGTTTGAGACCAGCCTGGCCAACATGGTGAAACTAAAAATACTAAAAATACTCTCTACTAAAAATACAAAATTAGGTAGGTGTGGTGGCATGCGCCTGTAATCCCAGCTACTTTGGGAGGCTGAGGCACTAGAATCACTTGAACCTGGGAGGCAGAGATTGCAGTGAACTGGGATCATGCCACTGCACTCCAGCCTGGGTGACAGAGTGAGACTCTGTCTCAAAAAAAAATTTTATATATATACATATGTGTGTGTATGTATATATGTGTGTACATATGTATATATACATATATGTGTATATATGTGTGTACATATGTATATATACATATATGTATATATATGTGTGTCTGTGTGTACATGTGTGTGTGTGTATATATATTTGTGTGTGTGTGTGTGTGTGTATATATACTCCAAAGATTCTGAGGTGTGGGTTGGTACAGCATCTCACTTACCTGAGTCTGAGGGCTGCATTGATTCTCATTTACCTTGTATGTGGTTGGTTTAGGCATGAGCAAGTGACAATTCTAGCCAATGCCATGGAGGGGAAGTCTGCTGAGAACTTCTGAGCGAGGTCATAAACTAAAGTATTTGGAGGAAAAAAAAAATCAATCTGTTTTCTGCTACTGACTGTTGTATCTATAGTGAGCAGTTCTGGGGATGATTTTGCCCCCGCTCCCCATGGGACTTTTGGCAGTGACTGAAGAGTGAAGACACTTTTGCTTGTTGTAACTGTGGGGAGAGTGCTATGGGCATCTACTGGGTAGAAAACAGGGATGCTGCTAAACATTCCACAATGCACAGGACAGCCCCCCATAACAATGAACGATTCAGCCCCAAATACCAACTTCCAAAGTTGAGAAACTGCTGTATGTGATCACTGTTGTGTGGCAGATGTGCTATGACTGTAAAGACAAGGCTGAGGATGACAAAACCAAAGGGCATGAAAAAAATTAGTTCAGGGTGACAATGTTGAGGAACCATTGAATTAAACAACCTCTCAAGTGCCTATATCTGGATTTTTTTTTTTAGTTGATTTGGCAGGTGGGTTGTTACACACTCCTTAGTGGATTCCAACTTCCATGGTCACTGTCCTGCTCGGACTTTTTTTAGGTGAAAATAAATCTCTTTATTGTTTAAAAACTCTGTTGGCGTTCTAATTGACATAGAAAAAGAAGAAGGAGTACAACAAATTTTGTGGGGCTACAAGCACAGAGCATCCCAGGGAGGGGAAAAACGGTCCATCTGATAGAAATTCTAGCTGAAATCCCACTTGCTTTGAGAAGTCACCAAAATAACTTTCCGTGTTGTCAAGACAGACGCTCAGCTTAACACTTCCGTCACAGTAGGCTATGCTTATTTTATTTGTTCCACTTATCAGGATTTAGAACAAAACTTATCTGAAAGTGACTTGAAATCAGGGAACATTGTTATAGTTTTTATATATTCTTTGAAGAAACAGCTCCCAAACTTTTCTGTTCAAAGACGTTCAGTTTATTATTATTATTATTATTTTTGAGACGGAGTTTCGCTCTTATTGCCCAGGCTAGAGTGCAATGGCATGATCTCGGCTCACCGCAACCTCTGCCTCCCCAGTTCAAACGATTCTCCTGCCTCAATTCCCAAGTAGCTGGGATTATAGGCACGCACCACCACGCCTGGCTAATTTTGTGTTTTTAGTAGAGACAGGGTTTCTCCATGTTGGTCAGGCTGGTCTTGAACTCCTGACCTCAGGCGATCTGCCTGCCTCGACGTTCCAAAGTGCTGGGACTGCAGGTGTGAGCCACCGTGCCTGGCCAGATGTTTAGTTTTTTATTAAAAATTTTAAAATATACATTTGTTCTTTGTACTAACCAAGAAGCACTGATCTTCAAAGACATTTAAAGTGCTGAAAAGGAGAAAATGACATAATCTCTTTAAATTTGCAATTTAGGCTGGATGCAGTGGCTCATGCCTGTAATCCCCACACTTTGAGAGGTCAAGGAAGGAGAATCGCTTGAGCCCAGCAGTTCAAGACTAGCCTGGGCAACATAGCAAGACCCCATCTCTAGAAAAAAATTAAGGCTGGGCAACATGGTGAAACCCCATCTCTACCAAAACATACAAAAATTAGCCAGGTGTGGAGGTGCATGCCAGTCCCAGCTACTGGGGAGGCAGAGGTGAGAGAATAGCTTGAATCCTGAAGACAGAGGTTGTAGTGAGCCGAGATTGCACCATTGCACTCCAGCCTGGGCAATAGAGAGAGAGAGACACCCTGTCTTAAATGAATGAATGAATGAATGAATACATAAAATAAAAATAAAAATAAAAATAAGTTAGCCAGGCTCAGTGGCACACATCTCTAGTCTTAGCTACTCAGGTCTGAGGCAGGAGGGTGCCTTGAGTCCAGGAGTTTGACGTTGCAGCGAGCTATGATTGCACCACTACACTTCAGCCTGGGTGACAGAGCGAGATCCTGTCTCAGAAAAAAAAAAAAAAGTTGCAACTTAGAAACATTTTTGGGCCGGGCACGGTGGCTCATGCCTGTAATCCTAGCACTTTGAGAGGCCGAGATGGGTGGATCACGAGGTCAAGAGATCGAGACCATCCTGGCTAACACGGTGAAAACCCATCTCTACTTAAAAAAATACAAAAAATTAGCCGGGCGTGGTGGCGGGCGCCTGTAGTCCCAGCTACTCGGGAGACTGAGGCAGGAGAATTGCTTGAACCCGGGAGATGGAGGTTGTAGTCAGCCAAGGTCGCGCCACTGCACTCCAGCCTGGCAACAGAGCGAGACTCCATCTCAAAACAAAACAAAACAAAACAAAACAAAACAAAACAAAAAAATCGCAATTGAAATTGGAAAATAATTTTTACGTGAATTATTAAAACAGTGTGTAAATGGGAATAGATAAAAATGGAGAAAAAGCTGTTATACTTTGTTTTTTTCCTCCCTTTTTGTAATGTGATAGGAGGGGGAAATCAAGGCATATTGAGCATAAGTTTAAAAGTTTAAATGGTCTTACAGGAATTATTTCTTTAAGAAGAGACAATTAGTGACAGTACTGGAGGGAAGAATATCAGGCTCCTATGGCCAGGGCCTTGGATGTGCTAATTTAAAAGTTTTCCTTAACATGAAAGCCGTGATTTAGTCAAGTTATGATAAAAACAATACTTGAATTTGGTAAGCTAGTGATACCACTTTTTATCTAGGATTTTATTTTATGTAATGCTACCTTTACTCACAAATTGTAAAGCCAGTAGAAACACATTTAATCTCACCAGTCTTTTAATGCACATTATTAAAAACAGAAATCCTTATTCAGCTCCTAGGTAATAAATTCTTGATCTACCTATGTAAAAATCTAACTTAGCAGTAAACATCTAACTCGGCTACCTGAAATGTTACCATACTTAATAACAGTTACATGCACACATTTTATTTGGTCCTATTAACAAGCCTATTAAGGAGGTATTATTATGATGCTCTTTTTATGGATGAGAAAACTTAGGCTGAGAGAGATTAAATAACATGCCCAAGTCCACATAGGCATGAGCACACTTTGGAGACATTGTGGGTTCATTCCCACATCACCACAATAAAGCAAATATTGCAATAAAGCAAGCCACACATTTTGTTTTGGTTTCTCAGTGCACATAAAAGTTATGCTTACAGTATATTGTAGTCTATTAAGTATGGAATAGCATTATGTCTAAAAAACAATGTATGTACCTTAAACAAAAAATACTTTTGGACTGGCGCGGTGGTTCATGCCTGTAATCCCAGCACTTTGGGAGTCTGAGGCAGGCAGATCACGAGGTCAAGAGATGGAGACCATCCTGGCCAACATATTGAAACCCCATCTCTACTAAAAATACAAAAATTAGCCGGGCATGGTGGCGGGTGTCTGCAGTCCCAGCTACTTGGGAGGCTGAGGCAAGAGAATTGCTTGAACTTGGGAGGCAGAGGTTGCAGTGAGCCAAGATTGCACCACTGCACTCCAGCCTGGCAACAGAGTGAGACTCTGTCTCAAAACAAACAAACAAACAAACAAAAACCCAAAAACAAAAACAAAACAAACAAACAAAAAAACTTCAATTTTCAGACAGAGTCTCACTCTATCACCCAGGCTGGAATGCAGTGGCATGATCTCAGCTCACTTGCAACCTCCATTTCCCAGGTTCAAGCAATTCTCATGCTTCAGCCTCCCAAGTAGCTAGGATTTCAGGTGTGTGTCACCACACCCAGCTAATTTTTGTATTTTTAGTAGAAATGGGATTTCACCATGTTGGCCAGTCTGGTCTTGAACTCCTGACCTCAGGTGATCCACTCACCTTCGCCTCCCAAAGTGCTGGGCTTACAGGAGTAAGTCACCATGCCCGGCCAAAAAACACCTTACTGGTAAAAATTCTAATGATCACCTGAGCCTTCAGTGGGTCATAATCTTTTTGCTGGTGGAGAGTCCTGCCTCGATGTTAATGGCTGCTGACTGATCAGGGTAGTGGTTGCTGAAGGTTGGGGTGGCTGTGGTAATTTTAAAAAACTAAGACAACTTATGATTTGCTTTATTCATGGTAAACTTACTGAAGTGTTCTGATTTGAAAGGTATGAGTTTATTATCATACATTTGTGGGTACAGCAAGTTTGTTAATTATGTGGTTAAATATTTTATATTCTTACTGATCTTTTTGTCTGCTTTTTTCTGTCAGTTACTATGAGAGGTGTGTTAAAATCTCTCTCTGAAAGAAAGAAAGAAAGAAGAAAAGAAAGAAAGAAAGGAAAGAAAGAGAGAAAGAAAGAGACAACCGTGAAGCTTGCTGCATCAGTGGACTCTTCCTTTCACAAAACATTTTTCTGTAGTATGCTATGCTGTTTGACAGCATTTTACTCACAGTAGAACTGCTTTCAAAATTGGAGTCAGTCCTCTCAGGCCTTGCCAATACTTTCTCAACTAAGTTTATGTAGTATTGTAATTCCTTTGTTGTCATTTAAACAATGTTCATAGCATCTTCACCAGGAATAGATTCCATCTCAAGAAACCACTTTCTTTGAGCATTTATAAGAGGTACCTCCTTATCTGTTCAAGTCTGATCATGAGTTGCAGCAATTCAGTCACATTTTTAAGCTGCACTTCTAGTTCTCTTGCTAGTTCCACCACACCTGCACTTGCTTCCTCTACTGAAGTCTTGCACCCCTCAAAGTGATATATGATGGTTGGAATCAACTTTTTCCAAACTCCTGTGAATAACATGTTGCTATTTTAGCCTCTTCCCATGAGTTACAAATTTTTTTTAACACTTTAACTTTTTTTTTTTTTTGAGACAGAGTCTTGCTCTATTGCTCAGGCTAGAGTGCAGTGGCACAATCCCAGCTCACTGCAACCTCCACCTCCTGGGCTCAAATGATCCTACCACCTCAGCCTCTGAGTAGCTGGGACTACAGGTGCATGCCACCATGACCAGCAAATGTTTGTATTTTTTGTAGAGATGGGGTTTCACCATTTTGCCCAGGCTGGTCTCGAACTTCTGTGCTCAAGCAATCCATCCACCTTGGCCTCCCAAAGTGCTGGGATTACAGGTGTGAGCTACCATACCCAGCCCACAAATGTTCTTAATAGTTATGACAAATGATGAATCCTTTCCAGAAGATTTTCCTTTAAAGTTTGAAGCCAGGCATTGATTTCTCTCTAGCTATGAACGTCCTAGATGGCATCTTTTTCCAATAGAAGGCTGTTTCACCTACATAGAAAATCCATTGTTAAGTATAGCTACCTTCATCAGCAATCTTAGCTAGATCTTCTGGTTAGCTTGCTGCAGCTTCTGCATCAGCACTTGCTGCTTCACCTCACACTTTTATGTTTTGGAGACCACATCTTTCCTTAAATCTCATGAGCCAACCTCTGCTAGCTTCAAACTTTTCTTCTGCAGCTTTCTCACCTCTCTCACCCTTCACAGAATTAAAGAGAGTTAGCGCTTTGCTCTGGAATAAGCTTTGGTTTAAGGGAATATTGTGGCTAGTATGATTTTCTATTCAGACCACTCAAACTTTCTCTGCATCAGTAATAAAGCTGTTCTGCTTTCCTATCACTTGTATGGTCACAGGAACAACACTTTTAGTTTTCCTCAAGAACTTTTCCTTTGCATTCACAACTTGGCTAATGGTTTGGTGTAGGAGGCCAAGCTTTGTGCCTGTCTTGTCTTTCCACATGCCTTCCTCACTAAGCTTACCATTTCTAGCTTTTCATATAAAGTGAGAGACTTGCAACTTTTCTTTTCACTTGAACACTTTTACTTTTCACCCTACACTTAGAGGCCATTGTAGGGTGTAGCTGACCTAATTTCAACACTGCTGTGTCTCAGGGAATAGGGAGGCCTGAAGAGAGGGGAAGTGATGGGGACTGCCAGTCGGTAGAGCAGTCAGAACACACACATTTATCAATTATGTTTGCTGACTTATATAAATATAGTTCATGGAACCCCAAAAGAATTACAACAATAACACCACAGATTACTGATCGCAGATCACCATAACAGATAAATGGCACCAATAGATGTACTCAATGCAGAGTCACCACACACTTTCCATTGTAAACAGCACAATATCTGTGAAACACAATAAAATGAAGTGTGGCTGTAGAATGCTGCAGCCAGGAAGTAATTCCAGACTGTGTGCCTAGAGTGTGTATGACTTCTATATTATACTGATAGTGCCAAGAAGGAACAAAGCAGGTATGTGTCAACATTGAACATATTAAGGACCAGCAAATAGCACACTTCCACAGGCCTTCCTACTGTGCTGAGCTGCTAATAGGTTGTCAATAGATATTTATTGGTTAAGTTTTAAAATTTTTTTTCCTGTTGCGGAATGGTGGGCAGGACGCTGAGCTAAGTATCAGACCCAGATGCTAACAAGGGCTCCTCTATTCACCAACCATGTGGCTTTGGATAAGTAACTTATCTGACGCTCATTAAAAAAATTAGAATAATAATAACTGCTAGGCCTACTTCCTAATATTGGGACTATGTATGGAATTCTTCAGAAAATGTGATTTAAAAAAAACAACAACAAATGAAAAGCTTTACAGACCCAAAATCTAAGTTCAAAGAGGCCCACTAGACAGGGTACCACACTTCTGAAAAAAAGCAGCTCAACCTCTTAATTACAGACAGTAAACCAAATTCCACATCCCAGTAAAAGTCTGGCTAATAACTCAGGAATCTTTCATTTGGTCTTACTTCCCTGAACTTATTTTCCTGACTTTTTCATCTGACTCCATCACCCCTCCACCCAAATTAATCAGTTTCCTTTACAAAGTCATTTTCAGGAGCTGAAGTGAAAAAAGTATGCCTCCCAGAGGTTAGAATCTCAGGGGCATTCTGTTCAAAGAACACAGGAAGAAATACTTTGTCCTTTTTCTCTTAACTCAGGCCTCACAGGTCTTTTTGAAAGCCAGAAGCTAAAGTGGCTTAAGAGAAAGCTAGAAGTATTGGGGTAGTGGTGTTCCCACTTCAGGGTGAAGTTGTCAGGATGTACCTGTTTTATGATTCTAGTTCCTTTGATTGGCAGTCCTTGAACTAAATTAAAAACAGAGAAAAGTTCATATGATTTAAACTCATGATGCTTCTTTGTGAAAAGGGAAAATGAGACATGTTGTTAGCCCCAGCATCTCTTTTGAGATGGGGGTTTTACTATGTTGCCCAGGCTGGCCTCAAACTCCTGGATTCAAACTATCCTCCCCCGTAGGTGGAATTACAGGTGCATGCTACCGTGCTTGGCTATGGGCTTGTTTTTAATTGTTGGACGGTCTGGGTGCCCCTTTCACTTTATTCTTTTTTTCCGCTCTCACTTTTTTTTCCTCTCACTTATTAAGTCTTTGTCCTCTTTAAGTCCTCTTCTAAAAGACTGGAATTGCAGGTTACATTTATAACTAAATCTTCCTATCTAGGTAAAGAGAAAATATACTAAATTCCATAGAAAGCAGGTAATTTGTCCACAGGACACAGAGCTGATCACTGTGGAAGATCCCTCCAATCACATCTTCGATTCTCTCTCCCTCTTTCTTTACCTTGCCTTTGCTCTCTCCATGTGACGTGCCTGCTCCCCCTTCACCTTCCACCATGATTGTAAGATTCCTGAGGACTCCCTAGAAGCTGAGCAGATGCCAGCACCATGATTCCTGTAAAGACTGAAGAACCGTGGGTCAACTCTACCTCTTTCCTTTATAAATTACCCGGCCTCAGGTATTTCTTTATAGCAACGCAAGAACAATACCTTATTGTTTTCCCATTCATCCAAACAACTGGAAATTAAGCTTCCTGAGGCTGGAGGCCTTGGGTGTTTAGGACATAGTGAGCGCTCAACAGACACATGTTAAATGAAAGAGCCAATACTTTATTGCGCGCTGCTGTGTGCCCGGTATCGCTCTAGGAGCTGAGAGTAGAGAAGTAACGACTACACTGCGCTTCCTTTGGAGAGAGACACTGGAGAACTAAAACCGACCCAAGCGCTAAGCGATCTGCCTAATAGAGGGAACGCCAGCTGAGACCAGCGCAAGGCGGGCGCTGGGTGGCGTGCGCGACTGCAAAGTCTGGCATGCCCAGGTTCTGCTCCTTGGGCTCCTGCTGCGTGAGCCGATCTGCAGATCCAGCAAAAGACCCGAGAGCGGCTTGAACGCCAGATGATTCCTCCCTGAGGATGCGCCCCAGGCGTTCTGCCCTGGCTCCCAGCCGCCTCCCGGTGCTCCGGGGTTCGGCCTCACACACCTGTCGACCGCGTCGGCCCAGCTGCGGCCCAAGCCTGTGGGACTCCGGGGAGCGAGGCGCCCCCTGCTCCAGGCTGGGAACCAGAAATGCAGCAGGGCCTCAAAAAGAAACAAAATTCTTTCCCTCGGGGTTGCTGCTGCCGCACAACCTTACCCAGCCCGCTCTGCGGATGGGTCGTAGATTCCGGCTGGAAGCCGGAGGAAGTGCATAGAGGGCAGCTTCAAAAGCCAAGGCTGCGCTGCTTTGCGCGGGGCTTCTTCCCTCGCGTGCCCGCGCCGGGTGCCGGAGCAGCCTCCGCAAGCTGCTTTCATCTCGGTCTGCCGGGGCAGGGTCGAACCGCAGCTGTGGGGCTTCCTCTCCAAGCTTCGATTTGAGCTGGATGGAGACAGAAGAGACCGTGGTGCCCAGAGGCCAGTCTCACGGGGGATGGGGGCGGGTGGGATGGGATCAGAAAAAGCTTGAAATTCCTCCTGTACCTTAAACCTAAACAGCTGCGAGAGCCCCAGAGCAGGAAGCGCGGCTGCGGCTGAGAAGCTGGAGGAGGACCGGGGCGGGGAGGAGTAGCCCCAGCAGCAACAGCAGCCAGCCCGGGGGCGTCCTCTCCCAGCGGTGACCAGGGCCAGCCTTTGCCAGCCTGCCCGTCCTCGGACTCCTGGGGAACGTACACACAGCCTTTTGCTTAAGCAAGGCGCTCTGAAGCCGAATTACGTCTGCCTGGCATCCCGAAACACTGACGGCCCTGCTATGGCTGTGGGCAAATTCAGGGGTGGGGGTGTGAGGGGGGGACTAGCAGAGAAAGAGTTAATCTCCCAAGAGGAATATACATCAGTACTCTCCTGTCACTTGCTTTTTATTTAATGTTAATGTTAGACTTCACCAGATATTTCAACTGACAATTTCAACATTTTCACCTACAGAATTTCCTGGAAGGAAAAAAAAGCTTCTTAGTAAACATGTTTCTCTGTCTATGCTTCATAATATTGTCCACTATGGACACAGGAAACCAATCAACCGTTAACAATCACAGACATCATTTTGTGGTGCTTTTTCTTAGGGTATGAATACTTACATTGACTGCAGGTTTAGTTGAACTATAATTGTAACTCTTTGACTAAATGGAACTGATTTTAAATATTCAAACCTTTTTAAACAAAAGTAATAGGGCACGATGGCACTCGCAGCTGTTGGGAGGCTGAGGCAGGAGAATCGCTTGAGCGGAGGAGTTTGAGTTCCGCCTGGGCAACACAGGGAGATCCTGTCTTAACAAAAAAAAAGGTAAACAGTTAAGCATGAGAAAAATAATCTTTCCAGTCTTCCTAGTCTTCCAGAAGGCAGTGACTGACGTCCCTCAAACCATCGACTTTGGTACATTTTCTCCAGAGGATCAAAACCTAGGCCTGACTCTGGCATGGAGCCTGGAACAATGCAAGTAAATTAGACATCCTTTTCCTATGTATGACTGTGCCTTTCTTTGTCATGGTCACCAGGCTCTCCAGACTTTTTGAAAACTACGTAACAGTTACCTTGCAGTGCTCCTGAAAACACGGGGGAAGTTCATATTTGAGAGGCCTGGGAGGGGCTAGGATGATCCTAGTCAAGCACGAGCAGAGCTGCCGCACAGTGAGTGCTCATTGTGTGTTCATGGAAAGCATGAATGATGGTCATACCAAGAGAGGGGCTACCAAACTCTTACAGACGAATGTGAGCGCCAGGATCTCTTTTATTATTATTGATGTCATTATCATCAGTAAAAAAGCATTTAATGAAATTATTTTAAAAGGCTTCTTGCCTAGGGAGTCCAATACCAGCTTGGTACAGTCACAGAGGGCATCTGCCTTCCTTCCCCTCGTCGCCTTCCTCCCACTGTGCGAGCTTCGGAACCCTAAGGCCGGTTCACTGCGCATTGTCCCCGACAAGTTAGCAGCGCTCCCCGAGGGGTGTGAGGCACCAGGTAGGGTGCAGGGCGCGAGCGCGGGGCGGTGGTGCCCGGCGGGGGTGGGGTGCCCACGGACGCAGCCGCCTAGCTCTGCCGGCCGTCCTGAGGCAGCTGCTGGCGCCCGCCGGGAGGCGCGTGGCCACTTGCACTTCAGCGCGCGGTTCTCTCTCCGCAGGCTGCTTTCTAGGATTTGAAAGGGCCATAGCGACAGAAGTCGATCTCTAAGAAGGCATAAACTCGGCCTGAGACGTGGGGGGGAGACACTGCAGAGAAGAGGCCAAGTTCCAGCGCAGAAGGGGGGTTCCGCGGGGCCCTGGGATTGAGGAGACAGGAGCGAGCCTTCCCTTTCCGTCCTCTCAGGAAAACAGCCTGACCTGCTGGCACGTCCACCCCCAACAGAAGAGGGACCCCGGCGCGGCGTCCTTACCATCCCCATCCCCCGACCCCTGAGGAAGCCAGGGCTCTCTTCTTTCCCTGGGCGCCTGTCACAGGGGCAGAGGCTGGGCCTCGAGCTTTTCTGCACGTGAGCTCGGTGGTCCAGCAGAGTCTTCTGGCTCCCGGGAAAGCAGCGTGGCGCCGCCCCAGCCCCCAGTCCCCAGACTAGGGATTGGGACGTCAGTCATTGGCTGCAGGTTACTGGTCTGGGCTGGGCCCGCAGAGATCCCAAGCGCTCCTCTGTCGGTGCTTCCTCAGCGTCTGCGTTTCCGCAGATGCCCGAGGTCAGACAGTTTCGCAAGGGGGCTGAAGAGCCAAATGGGGAAACTGATGGAGCCTCACAAGTTTATTCCTTTCCCACGTCTGTGTTTGTCTAAGGGTGCTTTCTGTGCGGCTTTCTGAACTTGAGCATCACTTTGATGGAATGAAGTACAATCTTATGCCCTGAGCAATAACTTCTTATCGGCGATGACCCATTTAATCACTGGAAAATCTAATTGCATTGCTCCAGAGAGAGAAGTCTTTTTGAGATTCCAGCGTTCACTGTAACATTTCTTGTATCAAGAATGTAGAATCGATTGTTCACATTTATTTTCAGAAAAGGAGATAGAGTTGTAATGTTCTTACAAGTTTCTAACCAGTTTTTAAAAGACCAAACAATACTGAAAGGTAAATTAATTGCAAGCATAGGAGGCAAAACATTAGTTAGAAAAATTAGTCAAAACACCCTCTCATTTCAATTCCCAATGTGCAAGAGAAAGAAGCAAATCAAAATACCCACATCTCACATTTAGGTTACAGAAACTATTGCCTAATTATTCAAACAAACACCTAACATTTCTTTATTCTTTGATGTGGATATTGGTTTCTGTCCTCAGGTTTGTTTCCTCACAATTGATTGCTGCTTTTCTAAGAATCTCATTCTCACAAAACATGCAAACACAGAAATAATGGAGACTGTTTTCTTTTAGACACCCTTTTTAAGATGAAAGAAAACGGTTCCCATGTACTTCCAAAACACTTGCTCTCACTTGTTTTTTTTTTTTTTTTGCCATAATTGTTTCACATGCCTGTTCCTAAACCAGTCAAAAATGAAGGTAAAGGAACTACCATGACTGACTTAAGTTAATCAAGTTTCACCTCTTGGAGTCTGGAGGGACTTTGCATTCCCTAAAGCACTTGACCACTTTTACACAAACTCAGGGTTCTGCTAGCAAAAAACATATGGGGATGATGGTTTTTGGGTTGATATCTTAATATCTTCCATACCTGTGATCAGTCACAATCCCCAGTTTGTTGGCTATCTCTTGTCTAAATAGTTTACCTTCTCACATTTCTAGACCACTGATCATTTGAATCAAGGCAGTCTCCCCCACATTTATCTCTGTTGTATTTAATTATATTCATTCAGAGGAGGGGTAGCTATCTATTATCTGTCATTGAATAACTAATTGGTTATTAAAACTTAGTGACATAAAACAACACTTTATTTTTTCACCATTCTGCAATTTGGGTTGGGCTTACCTGGATGGATCTTTCTCTAGTCTCACCTAGGCTCACTAAGTGGCTATACTCATTTGGTGGAGAGCTGAGGGCTGGACCTTTTGCTCTGTGTGGTCTTTTGAGAAGACTAGATCAGGCTTCTTCATATGGCAATCGATAGCATATTAAAAGGGGATGACACAAATGTGCAAGTGCTGAAACTTCTGCTTGTGTCACATTTACTGATGTCCCACTGACCAGAGCAAGTCATATGGCAAAGCTTAAGATCATTATGAAAGGAGATTATGCAAGAGCATGAATACCAGGAGGTTCAATTCACTGGGGATGATTATGTAACAGTTTGCTACAGGAAATTAACCCCAGAAGAGAGAAAAAACAATCACTGGAAAAATTATGTGGAAATCAAAAGAGCCATTATTTTTGGCAATATTACACAACTTCTCTAAGCTGTGACTGAGTGAAATGTAAAAATCAGAGAATGAGAGTATGAATTCTACGGAATAAAACTTTTGCTATGCATGATTTGTTATATATTTAAAAAATTAAAAATAAGTATTTAAAAACTGAATTCATGTATGCTATGAGGGCAACAGAATAAGGTAAAGGATAAAGATGAAGCATCTTTCTAGATATTTTTCATATTCAGAAACAACCAAGTCCTGTCCTGACTTCTCTGTCAATTGGTTTTATTTTATCCAGCATCATTGGGTTATAAAAAACAAAGTTAAATTGTTGTTAAAACAAGAACCAGAAAATTGCCTTCAACTTGTCAACTTCATTAATTACTCGGCAACATATTCTAATGATGAAAGAGTAAGTAGCTTCTGATTGCTGCTCTGTGTCAAGCTCCTCTTTCTGAGGCAAGTAGGCACTGAAATGTCTGTCATGTTATCACAGAAGAGAAAAACTTTTGCTGAATTATATTTTTTCTTATAAAGTATTTAATCCAGATGCTGTCCTGCAGAATCCACACCTCCCTATATTTTCAGTTATACTAATCAGTGAATCATTCCATTTTTATCTGTTGCTCAAGTATAGAATCTTATTTCTAATAGCTTCTCACTTCCTCCTTTCTTTAACTTTTTTCTTCCATCACTTTATCATCTATTTCTCTCTACTGAATTCTTTCTTATTATTTCTTTCTATCAAGTCATCTCAACCCTCACATGAGTCATGATGAAGCAGGTTAAATTTTCTTAAGTCCTCTGCATCACCATCAGTGATAAAATTAAGAACCATATAATGATAGCCTTTGGTTTGACCTTGGAAACACGGATGGGTATCTCTTTCATTTTCAGTGATGTGAACCTACTTCTCCCTGCACTTGAAATATTTTTGCATTTGTTACTTTTCCCTTAGAAGCCTAAAATATATCACACAGCTGGCAGCTGGTTTAAGATTAGGAATGAATAAATTGATCAATTCTGAAGAAGATAGATGCTATATGAATAGTTTAATATCCTTCATTAAACATCTACTAAAATATAATTAAATGTTGGGGTTGACAATATCCGGAATTTAGACCACAGACCATGCTATTGGTTTGATTGTGTTCCCCAAAGTTCATGGGTTGGAAAGTTAATCCCCAATACAATAGTTCCCGGAGAAGGGGCCTAATAAGAGGTGATTAGGTCACAATGGCTCTGCTCTCATTAATGGACTAACGTTGTTATCATTATCCTGAGAGTGGCTTAGTTATTGGGGGAAAGGGCTTGCTGTAAAAGTGAGTTCTGCCCCCTCTGTCTCTCTTGCTCTCTCGAGAGCACTTTCTTGTCCTTCTACCTTCTTCTTTTTTTTTTTTTGACGGTTTTGCTCTTGTTGCCCAGGCTGGAGTGCAATGGCATGATCTTGGCTCACCGCAACCTCCACCTCCCAGATTCAAGCAATTCTCCCACCTCAGCCTCCTGAGTAGCTGGGATTACAGGCATGCACCACCACACCTGGCTAACTTTTTTTGTATTTGTAGTAGAGATGGGGTTTCTCCGTGTTGGTCAGGCTGGTCTCGAACTCCTGACCTCAGGTGATCCACCCACCTTGGCCTCTCAAATCGCTGGGATTACAGGCGTGCGCCACCGCGCCCGGCCATTGTCCTTCCACCTTCTTAACAACTAGAAGGCTCTTGCCAGATGCCAGTGCCATGCTCTTGGACTTGCCAGCCTCCAGAACTGTAAGAAATAAATTTATTTTCTTTGTAAATTACTCAGTCTGTGGTATTCTGTTACAGCAACACAAAATGAATCAAGACAGACTACAAATTCATAAATGCACAGCAATGATGTCCTGGATTCAAAGGATGTCTTTATTTTTAAACATTAAGTAGCAATTTTCAGAAGAATGGTTCCTATGTTAATGACTTAAACGTTTGTTTTTATTCTCCAAATATTTTTGGTAAAATAAAATCAATAGTATCTCATTTTAAAAGGTATATTTATATATAAGCCTCTCAAATATAAAAATGAATACAAATTACAAGGAAATCTAAAAAGTTAATTCATTGATAATACACACAAAGCCAAAGCCCAAAAGGAAACAAACCAACATCTTCCATATGTTAGTAGTACCACTTCGGGATTGCTATAAGCCTTGAGTAAAAGAACTTTCTCCCTCCCCCTGCCAAGTAGTGGTTTAGACACCAGAGTTTATTTTCACCTGGAAGAAGTCCAGCCATAGGTAATCCAGGGTTGGTGTGGTTGTTCCATTAAGTCATCTGGGATCCTGCTTCCTTCTATCTTTCTGTTTGGCCATCCTTAGTACATGTCTTCTATACACAGGATTATATCATGGACCAAGATGGCTTCTGTAGCCCCAACCATCATGTCTGCATTTCAAGCATGAGGAAAGTCAAAAGGGGGCTGAGTTGTCTCCTTAGTCTTAAAAGACACTTCTTTTTACATCGTATTGACCAGGACTTACATAGCCACAAAGAGACTGGGACACACAGTCTTTGTTCCAGACAGCAATGCAACTTGCAGTAATGTAATACAATCACGGTTCTATTAGAAGATGGAAAAAATGAATACTTGGGAAGGTAATAGAAGACTTTGTTATGGCGACTAAGGCAGTGTAGTGAAATTGTATCATGCTTATGAAGACCTTTCAACTATGACTGGGAATATCCTACCTCATGGCTCCATCCTTTCCGTATTTATAAATCAGATGCTCATTTTCTCAGCTTTCTTATTGCATATAGGATATAGCAATATGGCTTAGGTTCTAAGTCAGAAACTACCACCCAAGACTTTGATTTGGAAATAAGTAATGTGAAAAAGCAAACACCTGTGTGGAATCCCTTTTTGTGAGGTCAACAGCAGAGTATCAAACTTCTTGAGGCAGTAGGGGCAGAGAGCCATTCTCAGAGACAGCGGTGTAATTTGTCGGGTCTGTGTCCTGTGCCTTGGCTGTGGTGCCTCCAGTCGAGCCATCTTATGGTTTAATTTGGTTTCCTTGGGGAAGTAGCCTTGAAGCCAGTATTTCTTACATTTACATAGAATCAGAACCACCTCTTATCCCTTTCTGCTTCAACCCTTCACAGAGAGTTTTTGGTGTTTGTACTTGTATCAGTTTGCTAGAGTTGCCTTAACAAAGTACAACAAAACAGGTTGGCTTAAATAACAAAAATTTATTGTCTCACAGTTCTGGAGGCCAGAAGTTCAAAATCAAGGTTTTGATAAGATTGATTTCTTCTGACGGCTGTGAAGGAAGGATCTATTCCAGGCCTCTCTCTTTGCTTATAGGTGGCTGTCTTCATGTTCACATGACATTCTCCCTACATGCATGTCTGAGTCCAAATGCCTCTCCTTATGAGGACACCAGTTATATTAGATTAGGAGTCAACCTAATAAATTCATTTTAATTTGGTTATCTTGTTAAGACCCTATCTCCAAATAAGCTCACATTCCGAGTGAGGTACTGGTGGATAGGACTTCAACATGTGAATTTTGGGAGGACACGGTTCCACATTACCTCAGAACCCTCACTGATCCAGACATGTCTTAGGATATTGTTAGGAGCACAGTATCCCCAAACTGAGGGATATTACTGAAGACTCTTCTCCTCCATGCTGTCTTCCAAACATGACTTTGAGGCTTAAAGGTCAAGGATGAATGTGGAATAACTTTGCCGATTTTTTTTTTTAACAAGGAAGGTATTTGTACAAATAAAATGAATTCAGGCCATTATAATTGACTTAAGTTCAGATCACATTTGGTGGTTCCTATCCCAACTGAGAAGAGTAGAGAGAGTTTTATTCAATGCCACAGAAGTACCTTTTTTTTTTTCCATTGTGAAGCCTGTGGATTTCTTAGGTCTAACAAGGTACCACTGTAGCTTTGAAGATTCCAGGCAGCTATTTAGATTGTACACCCTGCAACTCAGCACATTCTCTCTAGCCCATAGCTGGTATAGCTTCTTAAAAGATCACAGAAACAAAGAACCTGTTTTTGCTTTTTTTTCCCCCTCAGATTTGAAAGCATGTGCACATACCCACTGCCTGTCTCACATCTCTTCTCCCCTACTGGACTTTTTAAAAAAATCTTATTTTTGAATAACATTTTATTTTGAAAAGTTCCAACACATACAAAAATAGACAGAATATTGTAACGAATGCCCATGTACTCATTACTCACTCAAATTGGATAATTATCAACTTACGGCCAATTTTGTTTCATCTATACCCAGTGGTTCTCAACGGAGGGTGATTTTCTCCCTCAGGGAAATTTGTCAATGTCTGGCACCACAATAGGGGAGGGATATTACTGGCATCCAGTGGGTGGAGACAAGGATGCTGCTGAATATTATACAATGACAGGACAGCCCCTACAACAAAGTCCAAAATGTCATTAGTGCTTAGGTCAAAAAATCCTGATCTATAAAAATCCTGATCTATACCTCTACTCATTTCCCTCTCACCTTAGAATTACATAAAGCAAATCCCAGACATCATATTTCTTCTGTGAATATTTCAGCATGTATCTGAAAAATAAGGATTTAAAAAAACATAACCATACTAAAATTATTTCATTTAAAATTAACATTAATTCCTAATATCATTAAATACCTAGTCAGTGTTGTAGAGATATCAAGGAGGAATGTTCAATGACCTAGTCTCAAAAATCACACACCGTCACTGCTGCCATATTCTGTTTGTTACAAGCAAGTGATTAAATTTTGCCCACACTCAAGGTTCCGCTTTTTGAGATGTGAATTGTTAAAGAATCTGTGGACATATTTTTAAACCATCACACTCTTTAAATCTCTTTAAATGTATTGGTTCCCCCTCCCTCTCCCTTTCACCTTGCAACTTATTTGTTAAAAATAAAAATGATTTGTCCAGTAAAGGGTCCCACAGTCTGTTTTTGTTTTGTTTCGTTTTTGCTGATTGGGTCCCACCGATTTGTTTATCATGTTCATCTGTCCTTTCTATTTTTTATTATGAGAACAATCAGATTCAGGTTTGATTTTGTTTATTTGCTTGCTTGCTTGTTTTGGCAAGATTATTTCACAGGCGGTGTTGCCTGCTTCCATTCAGAGGCACATAATATGTAGTTGTCTTGCATTTTGTGCTGCTAGCCATCACTGATGATCATTGCCTGGATTCATTATTTCACTAAGGGTTCCAAAACAATAATGCTTGAATTCTCAAACTCTTTATTCATTTATGAGATAGAATACATCTATAAAGAGAGGCTTCCCTTCATCAATTATTTGTTGCCCTGAGCTATGCATGACTGTATCTTACGTGACTTCTCAAGTAGCCTCTGGTGCCAGAAGTCCTGCTCCATTTAATTTATCATATACAATCCCTAGCCTAACAGTACAAATACATTATCATAGGGATCAGTAAATGGTGAGCATAGTATCATTATAAGAGTATTAATAAGTAACATTTCTGAGTATATCCTATGTCTTGAGTGCTCTGCTGAGCACTTGTGAAGTAGGTGTTTTTATTACTCATATTTTACAGATGAGGAAACTGGAGAATAGAAAGGTTACCCTTGCTCAAGTTCATGTGTCTAAGTGTCAGAAGAAGGATTTGAATCTAGGCACTCTGACTGCAGAGCCCACTCTCTCAACTACTATGATGTCCCGTGGTAACTTAATCATTTGCATAGAGAAGAACAGATATGTGACATCAATTAAGCCCCTTAATGCAGTGAGGTCAAGTGTAAATGGCCTGGACTTTAAGCCCAGAATTATGTGAGAGGAATTCTGTCTCCATTGTTTACTGTGTGACCCCAATAAGCTTCTTAACCTCTTTGAAATTTTCTCACTGGTAAAATATAGATAATAAATTCTACTTGATAGTGTTGTTATGATCATTCAACCTAATAGCCTGTTATGTGTTGGGCATTTAAAAAGTTATAAAAAATGTGTGTGCTCAATAATTAAAAGACAACCAAATTGAAACATGGGCAAAGGACCTAGATAGACATTTCCCTAAAAAGGATATATGAATGGCAAAAAGCACGCAAAAGTATGTCTGAGCATTATTCATTTAGCCATTAGGGAAATGCAAATCAAAACTACAGTGAGACACTACTTCATCCCTACTAGGATGGCTATAATTAAAAAAACAGATAATAAGTGTTGGCAAGGATGTGAAGAAGCTGAAGCCCTTATACACTCCTGGTGGGAATGTAGAATGGTGTAGCTGCTTTGGAAGACGGTTTGACAATCCCCCCAAAATTAAACTTAGTTATTATATGGCCAAGCAATTCTACTCCTAGGTATATATCCAAAAGAAATAAAAACAGCTGGGTGCAGTGGCTCACATCTCTAATCCTAGCACTTTGGGAGGCCGAGGTGGTTGGATCACATGAGATCAGGAGTTCAAGACCGGCCTGGCCAACATGGTGAAATGGTGTCTCTACTGAAAAGACAAAAATTAGTTGGGCATGGTGATGCACACCTGTAATCCCAGGTACTTGGGAGGCTGAGGCAGGAGAATCTCTTGAACCCAGGAGGTGGAGGTTGCAGTGAGCTGAGATTGTGCCATTGCACTCCTGCCTGGGCAACAGAGCAAGACTCCATCTCAAAAAAAATATAATAATAAAATAAAACAAAAACATACACATATATATGTGTGTGTATATATATACATACACACGCACACACACACACACAAACATGTATACCAATGTTCAAAACAGCATTACTCATAATAGCAAAGGCCTATTAACTAATGAATGGAAAAATAAAATTTGATATATCTCTACAATGGAATATTATTTATCCACAAAAAGGAATGAACTCTGATACATGGATGAACTCTGAAAACATGCTAAGTAAAAAATCACAACCACATGTTGTATGATTCCATTTAGATAAAATGTCCAGAGTAAGCAAATCTTTAGAGACTGAAAAACACTGGTGGTTGCCTGGAACTGGAGAGGCTGGGGATGAATGGGGAGTGGTAGCTGCTGGGTACGAGCTTTCTTTGAGTGAGGGAGATGAAAATGTTCCAAAATTAGCTTGTGGTAATGGTTGTACATCCCTGTGAACTGTGAATATACTAAAAAAATTGTACACTTTAAATGGGTGAATTTTATGGCTTGTGAATCTCAATAAAACTATTTAAAAATATCTTTGGGTGTATATACATAAAATTTACCTTATGTAACCTTACCAAAATTTTAGATTGTGATTATTTATGTGTTGGAAAGGTTATCTGAATGTTTATCCTACTGTAAAATGAAGGATATATAAAATTCTACTATACTTTCAGGAAATTGAAATGTATCATCACTTGCTCACGCATATAAATAACATGAGTGTGGATAACATGAGTGATAGCATTGCATCAGACACATAATTAGTGGTGACAGTAGAAGAACACACAGATCCTACTAGTGAACTTTCTAATTGGTATTCGAAGATGCTGGTTATGAACCTAAATTTGGCTCTTAGTTGTGACATAAGCAGGAAATTTGTATTGTTTTGTTTCTTTTGCTATCGTGGTGACCACTGGATCAACTTCAACTGCTCACAGGTTCTCCCAGGGGCTACCAAGGTATCTGCCAGGCCAGCTTCCTCTGATAATGACTTACTTTCCAAAAAGTTTAAAACTAGATTTGCGGTTAAAGGAAAATCCTGTGCCTCCTGAACACAGATTCACATGTTCTTTCTTTATGAGGTGGGCTAGCCTGGGGGAGAAAGAAGGTTTTAGGAATTGAGGGAGAAAGAAAATATTCCACTCATGGCTTGAAGTGGTTGTGGGGTGGGGGGAGATTGTCACTTTGTCACATGGTCATCTCCTTTATCCAGAATCTCCTTTGTAGTTGAAGAACACAGCTTCCCACCATGGCTAAGCCTGTGGTTAGCAGGTGTTTCTAGAGTGAGTTTGGGAGCCTAATTTTGAATAGGAATTTATTATAAAAATTGCTGGTTGTCATCTCTTCTTCATATTTCCACGTTACCATCCTTTTATTTCTTCCCTCTTTTCCCCTTGCCCTCATACAGATTTAAAAAATGTAATATCAAGAATAACTTATTATTAACTTTTTTTTTTTGTAGACACAGGGTCTCATTATGTTACCCAGGCTGGTCTCAAACTCTCAAGCAATCCCCCAGCCTCAGCCTCCTAAAATGTTGGGATTATAGGTGAGAGCCACCACATCCAGCAAGAATAACTTTTAATTGGAAATATATTCTTATGGTACCAAATCCAAAATGATACCAAAAGGAATATAGTGAGAAGTCTCTCTCCTATCCTGAGCTCAGACAACCAGAGTCTCTCACTTTTCCTGGGAACCAACGTTTGCAGATGAATTAAAAAAAAAAAAAAGAAACAGAAAAGAAAATCAAGATAATTTCAGAAGTATCTGCTTTCCCCCTCATTCTTTTGTTCAGTGTTCATCTGTCCTTTCTGGCTTCTCTGCTCCTCAAGGGCTAAAAGAGGCTGTCAATTCTCTCTGCTTAGACAACTGTCCTAGCCTCAGTTCCATGTTGATTTTCAGGTTTTAAAAGGCCTCGTGGGCTGGGCACCATGGTTCATGCCTGTAATCCCAGCACTTTGGAAAGCTGACTTGACCCCAGAAGTTCGATACCAGCCTGGATGGAATCTCCAAAAAATAAATAATAATAAAAAATAGCTAAGTGTGGTGGCTCACGCCTGTAGCCTCAGCTACTCTGGAGGCTGAGATGGGAGGATCACTTCAGCCCAGGTGGTCGAGGCTGCAGTGAACCATGATGGAGGCTCCAGTGAGCCATGATTACTCCACTGCCCTCCAGCTTGGGTGACAGAGCAGGGGGTTGGGGGAAGCTTTGTCACTTCAGCTCAGAAACCCAGCAGCCACTTCTAGGTGGAGATTTACCACACTATAGATCTACACACAGTCTTAATTGTATAAATACATATTATGATTGTGTTTAACATAGCATGTGTATACTTTATACACACATTCATAGGCCAGAAAATACTTTCATTGATTTATTTGGGTGTGAAGTCTTCAACATACAAAAAAAAAAAGATATTTTTGTTTCTTTTGTGACTTTTCCCCTCTCTAATTCGAGTACCAAATTGTTCTTATTATTGCTCCAAGAGAGGATATGTTATTTAGTGTGGGTGTGGGAGGGTAGAGATAAAAAGAAATGTATCCAGGCTCTTCAAGGAAAAGAAAAAAAAGAAGAAGAAAAGGGGGAAATACCCTCTGGGAATCTCAAGAACACCTTTATTTCGCCTTTTAACTCTCCGCCTTTCTGATTAAAGAGTTCAGACCTGCTCCCCGGCCCGCGTTCAATTATTCCCCAGCATCTTTTCTCAGAAGCTGTCACCACCACTTGCGGAACCGCAGCCTCATCGTGAGCCATTAGCCCAGTTGTTTCCCGTTTCGCTTTTCTTTCCTCAGTTTCTCCATGCAATCTTTATAAATCTCCCCTGGAGGAGAAGTGTCCGAGCGGGTGGAAGTCTGAACACAATGCAACCTGAGAATTTCTGTCACTCTCTGCATATGCTCCTAAGTGCTTTAATCCCAATTAGGGGCGGCTGACACACGGTCCTATTCATTCCCATCAGCTCTTGAATACATTTGCCTAGAAATGAACTTCACAAATAGAGGAGCTCCTAAATGTGCCCAACAGCAAGGAAAATCGAATTGAGTGCGGGCTCATTCGGCAGCGGCCGGCAGAGAAGCGCTGAATGTGGAGGTGCCCCGAGACATTGCAATTCAGCAACACGCTCGCTGACTTTTCTTTGCACCATGTCAACCGAAAGAACCAAGAAATAAGTTGGAGAACTCCGGTTAAAAGGCAACTTGAGAGGGATTCTGAATACTTTTATTGAGCCGTTTCCAACGGAGGACTTAAAAAACAACAAAAAAGGCACCACAAAACCCACCAGCGGCGTCCGGGCTGCGTCCTGGCTGCCACTTTGGAGCCTCCCGGCCGCCGCGCATCCACCGGCCATGCAATTAAGGGGAAAATGGCCTCATCGCCGGCGTGTCATCTGGTGGCGTTCCCAGAGCCCATCGCCGCCGCCCTATTCAGACCCGGCCTTAATGTCCCACCCGCGCCTCGGGGGCCGCGCAGCTGGTCCAAGCTGACCCGCCCGCCCGGCCAGCGCGGACACCCTCGGGGGGTGCAGCCCAGGCCACCTCAGGCCAAAATTCGGCTACTGAAAGCGGGGCTTGCAGGACTCTCTCTGCTTTCCCTAACCTCCTTCGCCTCGGGTCTCTGACCCCGCGCGGCTCTCTGCATCCCCGGGTTCAGGACTCCTCCGGCCCCAGTTTTGGGATTCCGCGTTGACCTAGGAGGGAGGGGTGTTTGGTGAGTCACCAGCACCAGGGTCTCCAAGGCTGAGCCCGCCTCCCCAACCCCCGGGACAACTCCCTCGGTCCCCGTGGGGACCTGAAACTCAAGGCCTTTGAGCGACGGTGACGAGCAGCCCCGGAGAAGTGTGGTCTGAAAGAAGCCGCTCATCTCAGCCTCAAAGTCTTAAGGGGCTCCTTTCCTCTAGGCGGAGCCGAGTCAGGTCACACGTGCTCGGCGCCGGCCGCATTCCCAGCTCTTCGCTCATTCGCGACTATGCGCCAGGCGGGGCCGCCCCCTAACGCTGCCGGGTTCGAAAGCCGCCCGCGGGTGGGACTTAGCTCTCCGTAGCCTGCCTCTCGGAGGGCCGGCGGCTGCTGGTGAGCATTCCAGCCTCGTTAGGGCAACCTGTTACCGGAGAGGGAGCCTTGCCCGAACGGTTCTACTGTGGGCAGGGAGCAGGACCGCCCCTAAACCGCCTTTCCCCGCACCTCGGTGTAGGAGAGATTTCGCTTTAACGGAGACTCTGGACGCCCATTTCAAGTCGATAAAAAAAAAAAAAAAGCCGAGTGGAATGTTTTGATTGAGTCTCAACATTGTCTTTGAATAAGGCTGAGACCATGTAATTAATGTGTCTTTTTAATAAGGGACAATACGGCCGTTCAAGCTATTTAATTTCATTTAATTTTCCATCCCATTTGCTGCACAGCCCGCTTTTACTTTTAACACCCAGCCTTTCACGGCCCATCTTGCTCCACTGGGCACATTAGATTGGTTTCACCCTTGCTTTTTAGGGGAAGAAAAATAAAAGAAAATGTGTTCCTTTTCTCCTTTGTGGACAATTTATTTCACTTGGGGAACTTCAACTCTGAGCCACAGGACAGAATAAAACTCGGCGAGCTGGTGTGAATGCCTCTGGCGCAGTCTCTTTCTTCTCGCGGGGCTGGGAACCAGCCACAATTGGCTATATTAATAAATAACTTTCCTCACAGTCGGCCTTTACATGGTCCTATTGATAAAATTGTTCGCGTGTCGTTCACGCTTTTTCACTCATTAAGGAGGGCCAGGGAGGCGCCCCGAACCCAGGCCCAGCGCTCGCCCCTTCCCGCTTGCAGTGCTGGTAATTTAAACTGGGTGTCATCCCAGAGTCGCCAGGCCAGAGGTTAGAGGGACATGTTCATGGCTTAAATTTATTGCCCTGACTCTTCGGAGCGGCTTCCTCTCCTCCTCCCCACCCCCCGGCTTTTGCCATTCATGGGCCGCTGGATCAAAGCCTCCCTCTGCTCTGTTGAGGGCAGTCTTCGCAGCCCTCAGAAGCGCAATTGGAGGCTTCTGAGGAAAAATCAGTGGCAGCTCCCTCAGAAAGTGACCTGGGCATAGTGTGGCTGCACGGTCCCAGAGGCCACAGTGTGTGGCCCTCCAGACCTTTCAAGCGGCTCTTCTCTGCCTCGGCAGCCATGTATACACAGGCCCTGGAGTTGGCCCGAGGCCAGCCTTCCGTGTGTCCTCTCATGGTCTGACTTGAGATGCTTAGACTTGAAACCTTTGGCCTGGCCTGGATTTTCCCATTAGGCAAACAACCAGTTTTGGAGCTTCTAGAATGCACGCACTCTACAGATTGTTGTTACAAACCGAAGTGAACCACGGAGAGGAAGCAAAGGGTCTGTTTGTATCCATCATTCCCATTTTACAGACTGGGAGGCTGAGCCTCCGAAGCAATCCACTAAAGGTTCCCCGAGTCTTGAGTGGGAGAGCACAGGGTGAATGATCCTGAGTGTCCTGGTCCTGCCCAGTGTGGTGAACATAGGTTTCGAGTGAGGGGCACCACACGGAGCTTCTTTGAAGACCCTCCTCAGATAAACTGCTGAGTTGCAGGTGTCGCCACCTTGCGTCCTGCCACCCTTGCTAACCACAATCGCTCCAGCACTTTCAGCCGACAAAGCCTCGAGGAGAAGCTAGCGTGGGCGCTGCTGAGGGCCCTCTGCCCTTTTGTGCAGTGGTTGGGCCTCTGGCGCTAGGCTTGGAAATACACCACCACTCAGGCCTCTCTTGGAAGAACTGCATCGGGCTCCGGTGCTGGCTGCATAGGATTTGGGGAGCTGTGCTCAGAACTAGCAGCACGCGGCAGGTGCCGGCAGAAATCACAAATATCTGATGAACTTGATTACTTGGCTACTATTTATGAAAATAAATGTTCTCACGCCAATTGGAGGCTTCCCTAAAAGAAAACGGGTAGCTCTCCGGTTTAACTCTGAAGTACAACGTCTTGTTAGTTCACAAAGTAGGTGTAAGAAAGAGTTGTCCCAAACGCCCACCTCGCCCCTCTTCTCTACAACCTTTAACAGATTGCGGTGATTTTCGTTTTTGTTTACTGTTTTTTTTTTAATAGAAAAGTCCAGGTTGCTGGTTTTAGGGAAGTTAGTCCAAGGACATCTTCTAGGGGACGTGATCAATAACCCACTGGTAGAACTTCTTCCTCTTCAACCCTGGGCTGCGGACCGGGGCGCAGGATCCCCATTCGAAACTGTTGGTTCTGGGGCTGTTTCCCATTCTCCAGAGAAAGTGCAGGCCCGGGGTGTGCCCGAGAAAAGTGATGAGCAGTTGACCTCCCCTTCTCAACTTGGTCTGGAGGCTTCATCATATTTTCGGACGAAATGGGACAGAAGTGAGAATTAAAGCGGTTCTGAATAGACGACTGGCCTGAACCCAATCCCCTGAAATGGTAATATGGTTGTTATTTAAAAAGTGTAGGTATTTTCTGGTGTTTTCCCATCAAGTACCTGCCTAATTTCTGTATGGCACACGCCAGAAATCAATAGTAGTTAACAAGTCCTCCAAACAGTCTCCATCTCTTTGTTTAATCTCCTTTACAATAAAGCCAAGGGGAGAGAATTAAAAATCTTTGAAGTAGATCAAGGCTCAAAGGAATCAGCCAAGTAGACTTAAAGTAGTCACTTATTTCCCAAAACTGGTTTGTCGGGGAACAATAAAAGGAAGTAAAATTTATGGAGAAATTATACAGTGGATTTGTCACTTAAAATATCGTAACTGTCTGGAGGACAATACCCCATGCTGAGGATTAATGGTCCCGCCGGACCTTTGATTCACCAGTGCCTTTTCTTCGCCCTTGACAAATTGGATTTTTAGGAATGGGAAGGTCGCCTGGACCATTGTGTGCTAGCCATTCAGCGGCCTCGATTATGCAGGGGGCTGAGGGAACCACTCCATGTGACCCTCTCGGGTGGGACTCTGCAGCTGCTTCGCAGCGCAACTCTCTCACCAAACTCCGCGCCCTTGCGCTAGCGGTGCCAAAAGGCTCCCGCCCCGATTGAAAAGGCGCAGTGCATGCCCGCCCGCGTCACTCCGCGGGCGGAGGACGCACGTCGGGGCGCGGCTCTCTGGCTAGCGCGCAGCTCCAGCTCTGTCACTCGCGCCCTTCCAAGGACCTGGAGCACCCGAGCGCCTGCCTGGTGGCGGCGGCAACAATGCACGGAGCCGCCAGAGCGCCAGCCACCAGCGTGAGTGCCGACTGCTGCATCCCGGCCGGCTTGCGCCTCGGACCGGTGCCTGGTACCTTCAAGCTGGGCAAGTACCTGTCAGACCGCAGGGAGCCCGGGCCTAAGAAAAAGGTATTGACCATTCAGACCTCTGCCCACTGCCATTCGCCTCTCAGTGCCCTGACCCGGGAAAGGGGTACGAGAGAAAGTGGAGGAAGGGAGTGATTGAGTCGTTACCTGCTAATTCTGCCGGGTGGAAGGGGACTCCTATTATTCTGAGCAAGTAGCCTCTTTAACTGTGAGAGCTGGACGGGGTCGGGCTGAGAGGAGAGGATGTGGCCGAGAGGCGACAGCCCTGGGTGGGGTGCACTGAGCGCTGTAGGTGCCGGGACCATTCGCAGCTTGTGTTTTCCCCTGCGCTCTCGGGTCTCCTCAGTCAGAAGCCAGAAGCCCACCCCCGCACGCTGTCCGCAGCTCTCTCTGCAAAAGCACCCTCTTTCTGGGGGCTCAGGGCATCGAGACCCTTTCTTCCCTTCTGCCCTTCAATATGTTAATTTGAGGCCTAATTTCGCCTTAAAGTAATTTTTTTTCCTGAAAAAAAAAATCTTTGGGAGGCTCTCAGTTCCTAGAACCTCCTCAGATATTTTTTTTTCCCTTGCCGATGTCGGCTTGTGGGTATGCGGCATATGGAGAGAGGATGAGCAAGGTACTGGCTCTGACGCGGGCTCCAAGGGCGAGGCGCGCCCATTCGCGCGGGGCACAGGGTCAGAGCGTCTGCAGCGGGGCTCTGAGAGTCCAGAGGCCCAACCGGGAGGCGCCAGGGCCAAACCACTAGCTTTGACTCCCACACTCCACACACCGTCGCGACCCCTGACCAGAGAGACTTATAGCACTCGCCCGCTTTGGGGGCGTCCCAGGAGCCAAAGGTCGGCAAACAGCGACCGGGAAATGAAGGCAGAAGTCTGGGGTAGAAGAAAGGACTTTGGCTTCCTTGGCTTTAGCTTGCCTTGCTTGGAGCTTTCTAGTAAAAAGCTCCGGTGTCCAGCCAGCGGGACTTGCACCTCGCTCCTCCTGCAATCACGCCCCCCACTACAGTCTAAAGCGGGGTTTGGTGCCCACCGCGCATTCCTCTTTAAACGCGTTTTAATTGCTTTTAAATGGCCTGCCAGCTGCGGGCAAGCTTTTCCCCGCTTGGGCTTTGTTCCGAGACTTTAGCTGCAGGGCTCACAGGCAACTAGGTGCGATGCACACAGAATACAGGAGGCATGAGATAATTTTTTTGTTTGTTTGTCGGGGGTACGCTCTGGGCCCTGGGACTGACCTAGAAATGTCTCTACCGTGGTGTTACGGCTGCTCTCAGAACTGCAAATGGGAGAGCTGGGGTAGGGGACAACTTGGTACAAGATGTGCCTAAGCACTCAGGGAGGATGCTCTCAACACCCCTCTCCCCTCCCCGTGTCGTCAAGGTGGGGCGCAGGGAAGTGGGAGTACTGTTAGCATAGGTAGACTTTCCTCTTTCTCCCTCCCCGAAGCAAGGTCCTAAGGAATTCTCCTCCTCCCAGTAGCCCATAGTGGTCTGGCCAAACCAAAAACAACCACTTTCCTGTGTTGGGTTGGGGTGGAGGATAAACTTTCTGTTTGGGTTGTGGGCCTGGCCAAGGTGCGGGGGAGAACGACCACTGCTTGTGTTGCAGGTGCGCATGGTGAGAGGGGAGCTGGTGGACGAGTCGGGGGGCTCCCCTCTGGAGTGGATAGGGTTAATCCGGGCAGCCAGAAACTCCCAGGAACAGACTCTGGAAGCTATTGCAGACTTACCCGGAGGACAGGTACTGCGGGCTTCTCTCCACACCCCCCCACTCCCCACCGCCAATTCAGTCTACCTAACCGTCCCTGCGGTGGCCAAAAATATTAAGAGCAAAGTACTTTAGCTAGACGTCTCATTTAAACGTCTCGACAACCCTTTAAGGTAGTTACTATTGTTTTTCCGTTTGAAGGATGACGGAAGTGAGGTTCAGAGAGCTCCAGTAGCTTCTCCAGGGTCACACAGCATCAGAATCCGGATTTGAACCTTTCTTCTCAGTTGCTTTTTGACCGATTACCCAGGAAATGACATTGAACTGTTCTATTCCTTGCGTCCCAGATCTTCTACCGAGCATTGCGAGACGTCCAGCCAGGGGAGGAGCTGACAGTGTGGTATTCTAACTCCTTGGCTCAGTGGTTCGACATCCCCACCACAGCGACTCCGACTCACGACGAGAAAGGTACCCATTCCAAAAGCGTGGATGGGCAAAAGTCCAGCCCTCCTCCTCCTGTCTTGAAGCGAGTCCCTAGACATAGCTCGATCTATGTAAAATGGAATTCACATTCCCTGTATTTCAAGGCAAAGAGGAGAGAGGTCGCCACTACCTCCTTAAAATCAACCATAAACGATAACAGTGATAGTAGCAATCTGGCTCACAATGGCAGGGGAAAAAGTAGGCTCTATGAACTTAATGGGGCCATCCTTTTTCTGTTGCATATTCAAACAGACCATTATTTACTCAATTAAAATAAAAAAAATTAGGCGCGGTAGCTCACACCTGTAATCCCAGCACTTTGGGAGGCCGAGGTAGGAGGATCACTTGAGGCTAGGAGTTCGAGACCAGCCTGGGCAACATAGTGAGACCTCTGTCTCTACAACAAAAAAATAATTAGCCAGGTGCGGCGGTACATGCCTGTAGTCTTAGCTACTCAGGATGCTGAGGCAAGAGGATCACTTGAGCCCAGGAGGTCAAGGTTCCAGTGAGCCGTAATGTTACCACTGCATGCCAGCCTGGGTGACAAGTGAGACCCTGTCTCAAAATAAATAAATAAAAATAAAAAATAAAAAAGGAGCCTTAAGTTGTTGTTACAGTAATTACATCATGAGTTCCACAGAGTATAACTCAAACCTGGAATGCTTTTACAAAGTCCATGGACATTTCTTCTCCACTGGCTTTCCAGGAGAGCAGTGCATTTCTACAGCATTTTAGAAGTATTACGGTACTTACAGCTGGTCAGTTGGCAGGTACTGAGACCCTTCCATTTAAGTGGCATTTATTCATTTCCCCTTGCCTACTTAAGTTGAATCTGGGATGTATCCCAGTTTCTTCTCAGATTTATTTGATCCCTTCAAAGCCAAGAGCGGATTTATGCAAATTAAGGTGCAGTAACTAAACAGAAAAACATTTTTAAACCTACCCTTGAACACTGAAGAACACTTCCTGTGGAAAGAAGTCTAGGAGGTGCTAGAATAGTTGAGGTTTTGGAGACTTCCTTTTCACACACAAAGCTTCCATGGCTTTTTTTCTTTGACAATTGTCTGTAATTTCTCCTAAAGACACATTTAACATCAAAATAATGAATGCTGTGAAATATTCTAACATGCTGTCTTCCTGAATTGCCTGCTCAATCTCATCCCTTTAGAAATAGGTTTAGAGAAATCAATACAAGTATGTGAATTAGGAAACACTTCATGAATAACACAGAATGAAGTTTATTCAAAACAATGAATCACTTTAAAGTATCATCGTCCTCTGTAAGTTAATTCTGTTTATTTTGTAGGTATAGTATTCAAATTATCCTAAAATAGTTTGTTCCTTGCATCACATTATATTACATTCTCTTGTCAACTTCTTCCAGTAAAAAGAGAAGTATAATAAAAGCCACATAGTGGAGAACTCTCAAATCTGCCACTATAGAATTTGGCGGGCCACTAACCTTTAGAAGCCAGCCATTTCTACAGAGAACACCCTTTCTTAGGTAGTCCCAAATAGTACAAAAGCAACTGGAATAGCGGTCCTTGTGTTTTCCTTTCAGCCAATTGAGCTTATAAACATCATATGGTAACAGATGTCAAAATAAACATTTTTTTTTTCTGGAGGTGAGAAGGCATGGGTGATTTTGAACCCTGACTTCCCCAGCTTGGAGAAGTTTGAACTCTTGACCACCTTAGAGTTACATGAAGAGGAGGCAGTCACTTGTTAAATGTATTTGATACTCTTGGCATGATTTGGATCTCAGAGTCTGGAGAATATGTCAGTTAGGATAACTGAAAAAAAGTATATATTAAACGTATGCTGCTTAAAGCTTGGAAAGAGGAAGAAATAAATAGGGATGGCTGCTATCCTCCTAATACTAGCTAACTTCAGTGGGTTTCAATTTCATAGTAAGATGGAGGAAAATACTGCCCCCTCATTTTAAGAAAAAAGCTTATGTGGCTTTGCATTGAGCTGAGTCATTCTGCGGCAGACTCTGAAAACTCCCTCTTTCAAAAGGGGTGATGAGAGAGAGAAAGGCTCTGAAGTTAGAAGGAAGTTATTTAAGACAACATACCCACCAAGAGAACCCAGGAGGTCTATTCTCTCTTTTTTTCACGATTCATTTTACATGAATGTTCAGTACAAGGTAACAGAATATTGAAATGGTTTTATCTAAGACTTCTATAAACGATTAGGGTAGGGTGTCATAGGCAAATACTCTTCTCCCATTTTTCTTTCTGCTCTCCTTGGACTCAGTTGGAATGCAGTGCTTATCACTTGAGTTTTCACAGGTCTTATGGGGTAGGGGTGGGAGCTACTTGTGTTATGCAAACCCAGAAGTTAATATACATAAAGGGAAGAAGATCTGGAATTCTTCCCTATTGTTATTTCTGTAGTAATATTTCAGAAGTTTGAGCTGCTCATATATGCAGAGGGAGAATTTAACTTTCCTGTTAAATTTTATGAGACTGATGTATATTTTGGATATTTCCTTGCGGTTCAACTAACTTCTTTCTCAGACATCTTTCCCTTCAGTATTATCAATCAACCACATTTTAAAAGAAACCCAACTGCAAGATCATTTCTCTCTACAGCAGTAATATGACCCTTTTAAGTGGAAATTAACTTCTAGTATGTGATCAGAATGTCTCATATATGTGTCTCTTGATTGTGTTCACAAACTCGGGCAAAATGAATAAACTAATGCTAATAATACTAAACACATAAAAAGATTTCACACCAAACACGTATATAGTGCCCGGTAGAGAATTCTGCACTTATTAAAAGCTGAGTATCTATATTTATTTATCGATCTATATCATTTATATATATTCATATAATAAAAAACTAATATATTTTCTCCAAAGACTTTACTAAGCTTGGATTTGTGCAGCTATCTAGGAGTTAATTAATTACCAAGTGGCAGACAAGACAAGACAATGCAACATCATCCTTCTTAGATTATCATCACCCTTTTTAGAGTATCAGGGCATAAGAATTTTTTCTTTTCTCCCAGCAAATTAAATGGTGTTAAAGAGGAAATAAAGATACAAATAATTTTGAAGAATGGCAAATCATAGTCCCTATGTGGTCCTTCAGTTGGTCACGCTCCAGGAAAACCTCAGGCAAAGTGTTTAAGGCTGGAAGGGGGTGGAATGGGTGGGTAGGGGACACAAAAGACATTGTCCTGTGAAAAGGAATGATTACATATGGCCTATACATACAGGATATTGTCTCGCCTGGTAATGAGGCGCTCACGACCATTAGATTGGTCTTTGTTCAGCTTATCCAAACTCCTTGACATACGCCACCTATTCTGCAAACGCCAACAGATGGGCCCAGGCACTGCACAGCCTCAACACTTGATTTAAAGCAACAGCTGCTCTTTGCTCTTACACGGCCAGCCTGCCTGAGTGCTGCCCTTCCAACGAAGATTTTGCTCGGATGGCCTGGAGGAAGTCTTCGTTGGAAAGGCCCCGTCACCTTTTTTGGCCTCCGAGTAGTCCCAGAGGATGGAGACACTGATAAGGATTGGCCATTTGGGGCTTTTCGGGGTCCTCGATACAGTAGGGCTACCGAACTTATATTTCACCCTCTCCCCACACCGCTAGTCGAAACTTGGGCTTTGCCTTGGGTGCACTGGCGCTTTCTTTATGTCTCGCTTGTTCGCCTCTCACCGGGTCGCTTTTCCATTCTTTCTTGCCCAGGGGAGGAGCGCTACATCTGCTGGTACTGCTGGAGGACGTTTAGATACCCCAACAGCCTTAAGGCACACCTGCGTTTCCACTGCGTGTTCAGCGGCGGTGGAGGCGGCGCCTTCCTGCACCACGAACACGCGGCTCGCCAAGGCGCCGTCCCAGCGGCTGATGGCCTCGGTCTCTCCCCAAAACCCCCGGCGCCCGATTTCGCCGCGCCTTCCCAGGCAGGAACTTTGCGACCCCACCCCCTGGGCCCGCCACCAGTTCAGGCCTGCGGTGCGCGGGAGGGCATCAAGCGCGAGGCCTCTTCCGCGCCCTCGGCCACCTCGCCGACCCCAGGCAAGTGGGGGCAGCCCAAGAAGGGCAAGGAGCAGCTGGACCGTGCCCTGGACATGAGCGGAGCCGCCCGAGGACAAGGGCACTTCCTCGGCATCGTGGGCGGCTCCTCGGCGGGGGTCGGCAGCCTGGCTTTCTACCCCGGCGTGCGCTCAGCTTTCAAGCCCGCCGGCCTAGCGAGGGCGGCGGCGGCCGCTCACGGCGACCCCTACCGGGAGGAGAGCAGCAGCAAGCAAGGAGCCGGCCTCGCTTTGGGCAGGCTGCTGGGCGGGGGCCGGGCGTGCGGGCGCCCCGGGAGCGGGGAGAACTCGGCGGCGGGCGGCGCGGGTCACCACCATCACCACCACGCGCACCACCACCACCATCCCAAGTGCCTGCTCGCTGGGGACCCGCCGCCGCCGCCGCCGCCTGGCCTGCCCTGCTCTGGGGCCCTGCGCGGCTTCCCTCTGCTCTCCGTCCCCCCGGAAGAGGCGTCCGCCTTCAAGCACGTGGAGCGCGCCCCGCCCGCAGCCGCCGCGCTGCCAGGAGCGCGTTATGCGCAGCTGCCCCCTGCGCCGGGGTTGCCCCTCGAGCGCTGCGCGCTGCCGCCCCTCGACCCGGGCGGTCTCAAAGCCTATCCGGGTGGTGAGTGCAGCCACCTGCCCGCCGTCATGCCGGCCTTTACAGTCTACAACGGGGAGCTGCTCTACGGCTCACCGGCCACCACCGCTTATTACCCGCTCAAATTGCACTTCGGCGGGCTGCTGAAGTATCCGGAGTCCATCTCCTACTTCAGCGGGCCTGCAGCGGCCGCCCTAAGCCCCGCCGAGCTGGGGTCGCTGGCCAGCATCGACCGAGAGATCGCCATGCACAATCAGCAGCTGTCCGAGATGGCTGCCGGGAAGGGTCGCGGACGCCTGGACTCGGGGACGTTGCCACCGGCCGTCGCGGCGGCGGGAGGCACCGGGGGCGGCGGCAGCGGAGGCAGCGGCGCAGGTAAGCCCAAGACCGGCCACCTGTGCCTCTACTGTGGCAAGCTGTACTCGCGCAAGTATGGGCTCAAGATCCACATGCGGACGCACACGGGCTACAAGCCACTCAAGTGCAAAGTCTGTCTGCGGCCCTTCGGCGACCCCAGCAATCTCAACAAGCACATCCGGCTGCACGCCGAGGGCAATACGCCCTACCGCTGCGAGTTCTGCGGCAAGGTACTTGTGCGCCGCCGGGACCTGGAGCGACATGTCAAGTCCCGCCACCCTGGCCAGAGTCTGCTCGCCAAAGCGGGCGACGGCCCGGGTGCCGAGCCCGGCTATCCCCCGGAGCCTGGGGATCCCAAGAGCGACGACAGTGACGTGGACGTCTGCTTCACAGACGACCAGAGCGACCCCGAGGTTGGGGGCGGCGGGGAGCGCGACTTGTAACGAGTCTTCCCGGGAAGGGGCGGGGTGAGGACAGAGAGGAGTCGAGGGTTTATTCTCGCAGTAGAGGAACTCCTGGTGGTGGGAAGAGGGACCCAATGGACAAAACCGTTTTTGTTTTTGAGAGGGCGCCAGATTTGAAACAGTGAGAGGTCCCACATCTGGTGCTGAAACTCAGAGCAACAGTTCAGAGGTGGCGTAAATCTGGCCACCTGGAGAGCTCGAGTGCCACCAGTACCTCCGCACCCCGGGCCTCTGGACTTCTTGGATGAGCTCACCCTGAACCGCCCAGGCGGTCTGCTCTTGGTGTTCAGAATCACATCAATGCGAACGTCACAGCGCCTTCGAGGGCGCAGATTTTAACTGCCACGTATTTTTAAGTTGTACTTTTCTGTGGAGGAAATTGTGCCTTTTGAAACGACGTTTTGTGTGTGTATTTCACGTTAGCATTTCATTGCATAGGCAAAACACTAGTCACAATTGGGTAGATGTGACATCCATATACTTGTTTACATTTTATCTGTTCTCATGTCAAAGACTACTCCTTGCCCCATTGAATATATAGTGGTAGCAGGTGTACAAATTGGTCAAGTTGCAATTATTTATGAGAAAATAATGATAAATGTAAAATATCTAAAGCATGAATCTAAGAGCACGCAATATATAATTTTAAAGAAAATATTCTATTTGGTAGAATACAAATGTGGTGTGTGTTGTTTTATAATGACTGCTGTACAGTGGGTATAGTATTTTGGTTTTGGTTCCAGATTGTGCAATCTTTAAGAAAAATAAAGATACAAACGAGAGTTTTGTTCACTTAGTGATTTCAGCAGATATTTTAAAGAAGTAGTTTAATTTGAAAACAATTTGCGAGGAGACTGCATAATAAAATAAATCATTGGAGACTTGAATACTTTGAGTATTCATAAAATAATGTTAAGCAGTGTTGTATTATAACAGGGAAATATACCATTTTCAATATGTGCATTTCACAGGCTCCCAAACATCAGGCAAAACAATTGTTTCCTAAAACTATTGTTAATCATGCTAAATGTTTTCATGTTTACTGAAAGAAGTTCATGACCTTCAAGAAGAAAAAACCCACATATTGTCAAAAAAAAAGTATGGAACTGTAGAATCACTATTTCTTGTTGTGCTCCATTTTGACAGAACTTTCCTTGGGAAGCAAGAAAGGAAACTTGCTCAGTGTCTTTTATGATTCATATATTTTATTATTAATTCAACAAATACTAAAGGAGGGTCTGTTTTGTTGGAAGTGCTGATCTATTTGCTTTACTCATAAGTTTCTTTTTCCCATGTACTTCTTCCAATGGTCTTCTGCTGTCAGTATTGGTCCTATCTTACAGAAAAGAAAGCATACTCTTTAAGGACACTGGGGTGCCCATAATTAGAACAGCAAAATTAGAAGCAATGACTATATTTACTGGTTTTAAAAAAATGCTAGCTAATGGGCAGATATCATAAAGA